>NW_025791765.1:600000-777543 GCF_000001405.40 Homo sapiens
TTGCCATAGTTGCTGTACCGGTTAAGAATGCACCTGGCTGCAATTTCCTGAAAACCTGACGTATAGTGGCTTAAACAAAGAGTGGTTTATTTTCCTTCTGTCATAGCAATCTGGGGGAGGCCACTGTGGCTTTGGCGCAGGAGGTCGGGAAAGGCCCGCTTCTCTGATATCATTGGGGGCCTCCCCAGTGCTTGTGTGGCAGAATGACAAGAGGAAGAAGAAGGAGAATTATGGCACTGAGTATCATGAGATTTGGGGTCATATATCTTTAGTGGGCGGTGTTTGCTGCCCCAAATGTCTCATGCCATTAAAATGTTCTGGAAATGATTTAGGTAGTTGGAGTTTCCTTCCCAAAGACAAGGCATTTACAGCATGATGTCCAATATCCATTGAGTTTGTGTCATGCATTCATTGTATTCATAGTCTGCTTTAGGTACTTAGCAAAATATTGCTGATATTAACATGCCTTTGTTTGCTTCACTGGAGATGAAATTGTGCTCCAAGTGTTTTCCAAGGTTCCGTATGACCCATCATTTGATGAAACAAGAACAGCAGTCAGATCCATTACAAAGAGAGACACACAAAAAAGCAAGTATATGTCGTTAACCTGACATGTGTACATACCTCTACAGACCTCTGTGTTATCTCAAATATGCGATGCTAGCATTTTAGCATTCCTTAAATTAACTACTGTGGTGGAGGGGGTGCAAAGCCAAACTGAGATGTGAAGAACTCTCTGAAATCCCCTCTACAGTCTTCCTCCCAATATGGGAGTCTATAGGCTTCAGTGTGAATATCCCTGTATTTTGGGGTGATCCCTGACGTGCAGTGTCAGGCATGTTCTGCCACTCTGGAGGCTGTGCAGAGGACAGAAACCCGGTTTGCAAGTGGGGTTCACTGTTCCTTGTAACAGGAGCTATGAGAAGTGTAATCACTTTCTGTTCACCAGCGCTTTATAGGTCACTGCCCAGGAGTGCCCAAGTCACCGGCTTGGGAGAGTAATGTCTTCCTGCGTCCCTCCCTGTCACCTCTGCCATCATTCCACCTCATCCTCTGTAAAATATTTGCCCAGAGAAGCAGAGCTGATTTCTCTTCCAGCACTGATGCTCCAGTGCCAATGCTGAGAGGAAGCAGCTGGCCACATATGCAAAAATAATGCATATTAACCCCAAATCACATGAAGAAAAGAGAAACCTTGTAAGGTGGACATCATGTGAATTAGGAAGAAAAGTAACAATGAGTAATTAGTTATCAGAATAAGCCAGCTATGTGTGCCAGGAATTATAAGACTCTCAGTAAAGCAATTTAGTAACTAATCACTCTGCCAATGCATTCCATAAGCCATTGAGAAAACATATGAATATTTCACTGCATAATCTCAATAGCTTGCCCTGCACCATGTTTTATGATGCTCCCTTGGCAGATACATTTTGAGGAACACATTTTTAGCAAAGTGCTTGCATGATTAAGTATGTCTATTCTTAATGATTTATCAGTGTCTTATTAACAGAGAACTGTGCATTGTCATTTATTGGATCAAAGTGGTTGTACTTGAAATCATTTGCCATACACCATGTAGGCCTTTCTACCCGTTTTCCTGTAGCATTAAACCTGCCATGTGCACAAATCTCTCAATGCTTATGCATATTGTCTGTCAACAGACTATGTGAAAATGAGCTTAGCCCCTGGTGTTGTGTTGGAACTTCAGATGCTTGCAGACACTTCATGAATGCTCTGTGACACTCAGAATAGGTGGGTTCAGGCCAAGTGCATGATGCTCACCTCAAAATCCCGTGCAGAAGAGTATCAATCTGAAGGGAACAGCTGCAGACCCAATGAAAGACTTAATCACAGCCATGGTTTATTTTCCCTTAGGCTATTCCCAACAGAAGAGCTTGAACAATGCTGCATTTGCATCAGGTTCAAATGAGCGAGAGGAACATTTGGCTAAAATATTTGGTAAGTAGCCTCCTGCTATGAAGCCTTTAGCCTGTGTTTGAAGAGTTGCATGCTTGTCCCTGGTTGTCTCTCAAGTAGCCTGTTCCTGCTGCTTTGAGGGGAAAGCAAGTGCTTTGCCTTGAGGCTAGAATCTGTTTCTCTATGAGTCAAAACCTCGATAAATTAAGCTAAACGTGGAAAATAAACACCTGGAAAGGATCCTGCTCCTCAAAGAGTGATCTATGGAGCAGGAGCAGGGCTACCATCTGGTAGTGTGAGAATACCCTGGGGAGACTGTTTAAAAGAGACACCCCAGGCCCTCGAGATGAGCCTGGCCAACATGGTGAAACCCTATCTCTACTCAAAAAATACAAAAATTAGCTGGGCATGGTGGTGTGCACCTGTAATCCCAGCTACTCGGGAGGTTGAGGCAGGATAATTGCTTGAACCCGGGAGGCGGAGCTTGCAGTGAGCCGAGATCATGCCACTGCACTCCAGCCTGGGCGACAGAGCAAGACTCCATCTCAAAAAAAAAAAAAAAGAAAAAAAAAAAAAAAAAGACACCCCTTGGCCGGGTGCGGTGCCTCATACCTATGATCCCAGTGCTTTGGGAGGCCAAGGTGGGAGGATTGCTGGAGGACAGAAGTTCAGGACCAGCCTCAGCAACATATCAAAAAACACTAAAAAAACGCCCCCCTCCCCGACACACGACAAATTAGCCAAGTGTGGTGGCATGTGCCTGTGGTCCCAGCTACTCGGGAGGCTGAGGTGGGAGGATCTTTTGAGCCCAGGAGTTTGAGGCTGCCATGAGCTATGATTGTGCCACTGTACTCCAGCCTGGGCATCAGAGCTGTACTGTCTATTAAAAAAAAAGAGAGAGACATCTTGTTTCACTTTCAGTGATCAGATTCTGTGAGATGGGGTGAGACCTTTGCATCACTAGGTTTTAAAGCCCTTCAGGTGATTCTAGGCTGTGACTCATTCATCTACCCCAAGCCTCTAATTTACTATTTGAGAAAAACTAAGGCCCAGATGGAAGATGGTGGGGTGGGGAGCTCCAGGAATCTGTCCCTTTACCAAAACAACAACTGAGCTGGCAAGAACTATGTTAAGTAGCTATGGAATATTGGTGTCTAGTAGAACACTTGCAGTGTCCAAGAGTGAGCTTGATGAAGAGGCTGCCGAATTTCAACATTTTGGGTAGTGGCTGCCATCCTCCATTCCCAAGCCCTGTGACGGGCAGCAGTGTGGATAGCAGTCCACATTCCTAGTGAGGATTGCTGGTGCCAGGGTGGGCAATAGAGACCTGTCTTCTAAAACTCAGGGCGCGTATTTTGATTGCTGATTGCTACTTTAGAGCTCCAAGGGGCTAGCACTAAAACTGACAGTTGTTTTAACTGGCATTATTAAATGCCAGTTAAAAAACTCTATGGGCTGAAGAGGCTTCCAAGCAGCCCTGTTGAGGGGATTTAAGGAAATAATGTTTTTTGTTTTTCTCTTTTTGGAGATAGACACTTAAGGAAACTTTTATCAGGTCATTGACTAACTTCAGAGATAAGAAAACAGAAAATTCAGCACTTTCACACAACAAGAAGTACGCACTTTGCAAAACTAGTTTGGAAAAGTTACAAAAAGATGGCTTCAGCCTTCAATAAGCAAAAATCAACAATCACTGAAAGAGAGGATTAGATTTCCAGAGTTATCAAAATGTAATACACAGAATGTCCATCTCTCAACGTAAAATTATAAAACATACAAAGAAACAGGAAAGGATGGCTCATTCACAGGAAAAAGGAATTTGGCAGAACTTGTTCCTGAGGAAACCTGGGAATTAAAATTATTACACAAGATGTTAAATCAACCATCTTCAAAATGTTCACTGAACTAAAGGAGACCATGAACAAATAACTTAAGGAAATCAGGAAAACAATGTATAAATAAAATAATATCAATAAAGAGATAGAAATTATTGAAAAGAGCCAAAGAAAAGTTCTAGAGCTGAAAAGTGTAATAAATGAATACTTGGCACATGCCTGTAATCCCAGAACTTTGGGAGGCCGAGGCAGATGGGTCATGAGGTCAGGAGATGAAGACCATCCTGGCTAACACGGTGAAATCCCGTCTCTACTAAAAATACAAAAAATTAGCAGGGCGTGGTGGTGGGTGCCTGTAGTCCCACCTACTCGGGAGGCTGAGGCAGGAGAATGGCATGAACCCAGGAGGCAGAGCTTGCAGTGAGCCGAGATCGCGCCATTGCACTCCAGCCTGGGCAACAGAGCAAGACTCTGCCTCAAAAAAATAAAAAAAAAAAGAAAGGATCAGCACACTTGAAGATAAGACATTGAAAGTATCCAGCCTGAGAAGCAGAAAGAAAAAAAAAAAAGAAAATGAATTGAACATGTGGGACTTGTGGGGCACCATCAAGCATACTAAAATATACATTATGGGAGTCTCAGAAGGGAAAGACAGAGAGATATGAAGACAATGTTTGAATGAAGAATAGCCCCAAACTTCCTGAATATGTTGAAAGACATGAATGTGCACATTCAAGTTACTCAATGAACTCCAAGCAGAATACTCAGAGATTCACAGTGAAACACATTATTAGCAAATTGTCAAAATCCAGACACAAAGAGAATCTTGAAAGCAGTAACAGATAAGTGACTCAGCATAAAAGGAACCCTCAATAAAATTCACCACTCATTTCTCCGCAACAACCACAGAGGGTAGGAGGCAGTAGGATGGCACATTCAAAGTTCTGAAAGAAAAATAATGTAATCAGCAGGGCATGGTGGCTCATTCCTGTAATCCCAGCACTTTGGGAGGCTGACGTGGGCAGATCACTTGAGCCCAGGAATTCGAGACCAGCCTGGGCAATACGGCAAAACCCTGTTTCTACTAAAAAAAAAAAAAAAAAAAAATTAGTTGGGTGTGATGGTGCACACCTGTAGTCCCAGCTATTCAGCACACTGAGGTGGGAGGATCACCTGAGCCTGGGAAGTCCAGGCTGCAGTGAGCTGAGATTGCCCCACTGCATTCCAGCCTGGGTGATGGGAGTGAGATCCTTTCTTGGAAAAAAAAAAAAAAAGTAAAAAGGAAAATACTGTCAAGCAAGAATTCTCTATCTGACAAAATTATCTTTCCAGAATAAAAGAGAAACAGAACATTTTCAGGTAAACAAAAGCTGAGAGACCCGCCTTATGAGAAATGGCAAAGAGAGCCCTTCAGGCTGAGATGAAGGGACATTTAACAGTCACTTGACATAAGAAAAAAAAAAATGCTGGTAAAGGTAACTACTAGCTCTAAAAGTCTTATTGTACTTTAGGTTTCATCTATAACTTCTGCCTTTTAAAAATATGATTTAAAAGGTGAATGCATGAAATAATAATTACACATCTGTTAATGGTCATACAGTGTATAAAGATAGACTCTGTAATAACAACAATATAAAGGGAAGGGAATAGAGATATATGTGTGCAGAGTGTTTGTATACTATTGAAACTAAGTTGATACTATTCAAGCTAAGTTGTTAAAAATTTAAGATACTAGGTGTTTAAGTTTAAACAAATTTTAACTAGTTTAGGTGTTTCCAAGGTAACCAGTAAATAATAACTAAAAAAATATGGAACAAAAGAGTAAAAGAAAGAGTCGAAGCCAGGCAGGGTGGCTTATGCCTGTAATCCCAGCCATTTGGGAGGCTGAGGTGGGGGGATCACCTGAGGTCAGGAGTTTGAAACCAGCCTGGCCAACATGATGAAACCCTATCTCTACTAAAAATACAAAAATTAGCCGGGCAGCAGGTGCCTGTAATCCCAGCTACTCGGGAGCCTGAGGCAGGAGAATTGCTTGAACCCAGGAGGCGGAGGTTGCCGTGAGCCAAGATCACGCCATTGCACTCCAGCCTGGGCAACAAGAGTGAAACTCTATCTCAAAAAAAAAAAAAAAAGAAAAAAAAGAAAAAGAAATAAAGAGTTGAATGGAACATTATAAAGAACCAACTTTTAAAAAAAGCAGTAATGGGGGAATGACGAGCAAAAGAAAACACACACAAAACACAAACCCCTAAATGACCAAAAACACAACACACATATACACAACAAATAGCAAAATGGCTGAGCCTGGTGGCTCACGCCTGTAAGCCCAGTACTTTGGGAAGCCAAGGTGGGCAGATCACTTAAGCTCAGGAGTTCAAGACCAGCCTGGCCAACATGGTGAAACCCCGTCTTTACTAAAACACAAAAATTAGCTGAGCGTGATGGTGCATGCCTGTAATCCCAGCTATTTGGGAGGCTGAGGCAGGAGAATCACTTGAACATGGGAGGCAGAGGTTGCAGTGAGCCGAGATCATGCCACTGCATTTCAGCCTGGGCGACAGAGTGAGACTCCATCTCAAAAACAAAAACAAAAGAGCAAAATGGCAGATTAAATACTTTTTAATCAGTAATCACATTAAATTTAAATGGATTAAACTCTTAATAAAAGGCAGAGATTTGCAAATTGGATTTAAAAACCTGTCCATGTATCTACTGTCTCCAAGAGATTCACTTAGGGAATACAAGGAGGTTGAAAGTAAAAGAATGGAAAATGTATTTCATGCAAATAATAGCCAAAAGAGAGCTGAGGTGGCTGTATTATTTTCAGACAAAATAGATGTTAAACCACATGGTTTATGAGAGACAAGGATAGTTGGAGACTTCAGTATCCTCCTCTCAATAATGAATAGAACTAGACAGAAGAGGCCAGGGGCGGTGGCTCACGCCTGTAGTCCCAGCACTTTAGGAGGCCGAGGCGGGCGGATCATGAGGTCAGGAGATCGAGACCATCCTGGCTAACACGGTGAAACCCCATCTCTACTAAAAATACAAAAAATTAGCCAGGCGTGGTGGTGGGCACCTGTAGTCCCAGCTACTCAGGAGGCTGAGGCAGGAGAATGGCATGAACCCGGGAGGTGGAGCTTGCAGTGGGCCGAGATTGCGCCACTGCACTCCAGCCTGGGAGACAGAGCGAGACTCCGTCTCAAAAAAAAACAAAAACCAAAAAACCCCAAAAATTAGCTGGGCATGGTGGCATGCGCCTATAGTCCCAGCTACTTGGGAGGTTGAGGCAGGAGAATAACTTGAACCAGGGAGGCAGAGGTTGCAGTGAGCCGAGATGGCGCCACTGCACTCCAGCACAGGAGACAGAGCGAGACTCCATCTCAAAAAAAAAAAAAAAAAAAAAAAAAAAGAATTGTACAGAGGAACAGTAAGTAAAGGAATAGACTTGAACAGCACTCTAAACCAATTAGACCTAGCAGACATATCCAGAACAATCCACCCAGCAACAGAAGAATATGTATTCTTCTCAAGAGCATATGGAATATTTGCCAGGATAGCCCATATGTTAGGACACAAATCTTCATTAATTGAAAAAGACTGAAATAATACAAAGTATCTTTTCAGATCACAATGGAATGAAACTAGAAATCTACAACAGAGGGAAATCTGGAATATTTACACACATGGAGATTAAGCAACACACTCTTAAATAATCAATGGGTCAAAGAAGAAATCACAAGGGAATTTAGAAACTGCCTTGAGATAAGTGCAAATTAAACACAACATGCCAAAACTTGGGATGCAGTGAAAGCAATGCCAAGAGGGAGATTTATAGATATAAATGCATTCATTAAAAAAGAGGATCTTCTCACGCCTGTAATCCCAGCACTTTGGGAGGCCTAGGCGGGCGGATCACGAGGTCAGGAGATCGAGACCATCCTGGCTAACACGGTGAAACCCTGTCTCTACTAAAAGTACAAAAAATTAGCTGGGCGTGGTGGCGGGCGCCTGTAGTCCCAGCTATTTGGGAGGCTGAGGCAGGAGAATGGCATGAACCCAGGAGGCGGAGCTTGCAGTGAGCCGAGATGGTGCCACTGCACTCCAGCCTGGCAACAGTGAAAGACTCTGTCTCAAAAAAAAAAGGGGGGGGATCTTAAATAAATAACCTAATTGTACACCTAAAGGAACTAGAAAAAGAACAGCATATTAAGTTGAAAGCTAGGAGAAAGAAGGAAATAGTAAAGTATACAGAGGAAAGAAGTGAAATAACAGAAAAACAATAGAAGAGAACTGATGAAACCCAAAATTAGTTACTTAAAAAGACCAACAAAATTGACAAACTTCTAGCTAGATAGGTGAAGAAAGAAGAGGATCCATTATGAATTCAGAAATTAGAGTGGGAATATTACTACTA
This sequence comes from Homo sapiens, assembly GCF_000001405.40. Taxonomy (NCBI): domain Eukaryota; kingdom Metazoa; phylum Chordata; class Mammalia; order Primates; family Hominidae; genus Homo; species Homo sapiens. Next base: position 608,170 of record NW_025791765.1, read on the forward strand.
ATTTTCTGGAAATAGAAAGCATTTAATGAGAGAAGAATATAAACATTTGTATGCTCACAAATTGGATGACCTAGATGAAATTTTAAAATTCCTGGAAGCACACGAACTACCAAAATTGACTCCAGAAGAAATAAGAAAATCTGAATAGACACATAACAAGTAAGGAGAATGAATCAGTAATCAAAATTTTCCAACGAAGAAAGTCTAGAATTAGATGTGTTCTCTGGCAAAATCTACAAAAGCTATAAATAAGAACTAACACCAGTCCTCAAACCCTTCCAAGAAGCTGAAGAGGAAGAAACACTTCCTGGCTTACTCTAAGAGGCCAGTATGGAGTATGGCCCTGATACCAAAGGCAGACAAAGTCACTACAAGAAGACTAAAAACAAATGTCTCTTGTAAATATAAACAGAAAAATCCTCAACAGAACATTAGCAAACCAAAACCAATAGCCTATTAAAAGGACTATACACCAGACCAAGAAGGATTTATTTCTGGAACAGAAGGATGGTTGAACATAATAAAAATCAATCACTGTAATATACCACATTAATATAATGAAGGAGAAAAAATATCATTTCAATTGATGCAGATATAGCATTTGACAAAATTCAACACCCTTTCATGATTGAAAAAAAAAACCAAAACACTCAACAAACTAGAGATAGAAGGAAACTACCAAAACGTAATAAAAGCCTGTTTGAAAAACCCATGGATGATATCGTGCTCAATGTTGAAAGACTGAAAGCTTTCCTCAAAGATCAGGAACAAGGCAAGGATGCCTGCTCTCACCAATTCTATTCAATACAGTACTGGAAGTCATAGCCAGAGTCATTAGGCAAAAAAAAGAAATGAGGCATCCAAATCAGAAAGGAAGAAATAAAATTATCTCTGGTTGCAGATGACTTGATCTTATATGTTGAAAACCATATAGACTCCACACACACACACACACACACACACACACACACACACAAACATATTAAAACCAGTAAATGCATTTAGCAAAGTTGTGGGGTACAAATTGAACACACAAAAATCAGCTGTGTTTTTATACACTAACGATATATACACTAATAATCCAAACAAGATATGAGAACAATTAATTCCATTTACGATTATATCAAAAAGAATAAAATACTTAGAGATAAACTTAGCCGAGAAAGTGAAAGACTTATACCAGTACTGAAAACTACAAAGCACTGATAAAAGAAAATAGAGAAACAAAGAATCTCATGTTCATGGACTGAAAAACTTAATATTGTTAAGATGTCAAAATTGACCTGGCATGATGGCTCACACCTGTAATCTTAGCACTTGGGAGGCTGAGGCAAGAGGATCACTTGAGCCCAGGTGTTTGAGATCCAGCCTGGGCAACACAATAAGACCTGGTATCTATTAAAAAAAAAAAAAAAAGATGTCAAAATTGCCCAAAGTGATCTGCACATTCAATATAATCCCTATCAAAATCTCAAGGGCTTTTTTCCCAGCAAAAGAAAAATCTACCGTAAGATTCGTATGGAATTTCAAATGCTTCAAACAGCAAAAATAGTCCTGAAAAAAAAGAAAACAATTGGAGGAATTTCACTTTCTCATTTCAAAACTTGCTACAAAGCACAGTTATCAAAACAGTGTGATACTAGTATAAGGCTAATCACATAGACCAGTAGAATAGAATAGAAAGTTCAGAAAGAAATGCATATGTCTATGGTCAGTTTTTCTTTTCTTTTTTTTTTGAGATGGAGTCTCACTCTGTCGCCCAGGCTGGAGTGCAGGAGTGCAGTGGCGCGATCTTGGCTCACTGCAAGCTCCGCCTCCTGGGTTCACGCCATTCTCCTGCCTCAGCCTCCCTAGTAGCTGGGATTACAGGTATGCGCCACCATGCCCAGCTAATTTTTTTTTTTTTTTTTTTTTTGAGACGGAGTCTCACTCTGTCGCCCAGGCTGGAGTGCAGTGGTGTGATCTCAGCTCACTGCAAGCTCTGCCTCCCAGGTTCACACCATTCTCCTGCCTCAGCCTCCCGAGTAGCTGGGACTACAGGCGCCCGCCACCACGCCTGGCTAATTTTTTGTATTTTTAGTAGAGATGGGGTTTCACCATGGTAGCCAGGATGGTTTCGATCCCCTGACCTCGTGATCCGCCCACCTCGGCCTCCCAAAGTGCTGGGATTACAGGCATGAGCCACCGTGCCCGGCCAGTCAATTGATTTTCAACAAGGATGTCAAAGCCAACAGAGTGGAAATGACAGTCTCTTCGACAAATGGTCCTGGGAAAACTGGAAGGTCACAGGCAAAAGAATGAAGCTAGCTCATTACCTTATACCATATACAAAAATTCAAAGTAGGTCAAAGATCTAAATTAATGAGCTTAAACTATTAGTCTCTTAGAAGTAAACATAGGTGAAAATCTTCATGACCTTGAATTAGGCACGTGATGTTTTAAATCTGACACCAAAAGCAGGCAAAAAGAGAAAAAATAGCTACATTGGACATCATCAAAATTAAAAACTGTTGTATATCAAAGGCATTTCTCCCACAGAATGAGAGAAAATGTTTGCAATTCACATATCTGATGAGGGATCAATATCCAGAAGACACAGCAAACTCCTGTAACTTAACAACAAAACAAACAAACAACCCACTCCAAAAATGGGCAAATAACTTGAATAGCTATTTTCCAAAGAAGATATACAAATGGCCAATAAACACATAAAAAGATGCTCAACATCATTAGTCATTAGGGAAATGCAAAATATCACTATTCACGCTTCTTAGAATGGATTTTATTTTTTATTTTTATTTTTATTTTTGAGACAGAGTCTTGTTCTGTCACCCAGGCTGGAGTGTAGTGGCACAATCTTGGCTCACTGCAAGCTTCGCCTCCCGGGTTCACACCATTCTCCTGCCTCAGCCTCCCGAGTAGCTGGGACTACAGGCGCCCGCCACCACGCATGGCTAAGTTTTTGTATTTTTAGTAGAGACAGGGTTTCACTGTGTTAGCCAGGATGGTCTCGATCTCCTGACCTCGTGATCCATCCACCTCGGCCTCCCAAAGTGTTGGGATTACAGGCATGAGCCACCACGCCCGGCCTAGAATGGCTATTTTGGTTTTTTTCTTTCTTTCTTTCTTTCTTTTTTTTTTTTTTGAGACAAAGTCTCGCTCTGTCGCCCAGGCTGGAGTGCAGTGGTGTGATCTCGGCTCACTGCAAACTCTGCCTCCCAGGTTCACGCCATTCTCCTGCCTTAGCCTCCTGAGTAGCTGGGACTACAGGCGCCTGCCACCATGGCCGGCTAATTTTTTGTATTTTTAGTAGAAACGGGGTTTCACTGTGTTAGCCAGGATGGTCTCAATCTCCTGAACTCATGATCTTCCCGCTTTGGCCTCCCAAATTGCTGGGATTACAGGCGTGAGCCACTGTGCTGGCCTTTTTTTTTCTTTTTTTGAGACAAAGTCTTGCTCTGTCACCCAGGCTGGAGGGCAGTGGCGCAATCTCGGATCACTGCAACCTCCACCTCCCAAGTTCAAGCAATTCTCCTGCCTCAGCCTCCCTAGTAGCTGGGATTATAGATGCCTACCACCAAACCTGGCTAATTTTTGCATTTTTAGTAGAGATGGGGTTTTGCCATGTGGGCCGGGCTGGTCACGAACTCCTGACCTCAGGTGATCTGCCCTCCTCGGCCTCCCAAAGTGCTGGGATTACAGGTGTGAGCCACCGTGCCCAGCCAGAATGGCTATTTTTTTAAAAAGAAAAATAACAGATATTGGTGAGGATGAAGGAAATTGAAACCCTCATACATTGCTGGTGGGAAGGTAAGATGGTGCAGCTGCTACATGTCCATTTTGTGCTGTTATAACAGAATACCACAGCCTAGGTAATTTGTAATAAGTTGAAATTTATTGGCTCACAATTCTGAAGGCTGGGAAGTCCAAGACTGAGGGGCCAGCATCTGGCAAGAACCTTCTTGCTGTGTCATCATCCCATGGTGGAAAGCAGAAATGCCATAGAGGTGGAAAGCGGAAATGCCATAGAGGGTGAAAGAGAGAGCAAGGGAGGGCTGAACTTGTCCTTTTACATGGTATGCACTCTTACGATAACTAACCCATTCCTGTGATAACCATATTAACCTCTTAATGAGGGCACAATTTCCATGACCCAAACACCTCCATTAGGCCCTACCTCCTAACATGACGACCACATTGGGAATCAAATTTCCAGCACCTGAAATTTGAGGACACATTTAAATCATAGCAATGGGTGTAGAGTTTCTGTTTCAGTCGATTTTTTTTTTTCTTTTTTCTGAGATGGAGTCTTGCCCTGTCACCCAGGCTGGAGTGCAATGGCGCGATATCAGCTCACTGCAACCCCTGCCTCCCCGGTTCAAGCGATTCTCTTGCCTCAGCCTCCCGCGTAGCTGGGATTACATGCATGAGCTACCATGCCCCGCTAATTTTTTGTATCTTTAATAGAGATGGGGTTTCACCATGTTGGCCAGGCTGGTCTCGAACTCCTGACTCATGATCTGCCCACCTCGGCCTCCCAAAGTGTTGGGATTACAGGCATGAGCCACCGTGCCTGGCCCTGTTTCAGTTGATTTAAAAGTTCTGGAAGCCGAGCGCCTCAGTCCCAGCACTTTGGGAGGCCAAGGCAAGTGAATTGCTTGAGGTCAGAAGTTCAAGACCAGCCTGGCCAACGTGGTGAAACCCTGTCTCTACTAAAAATTAAAAAAAAATTAGCTGGGTGTGGTGGCGTGAACCTGTAGTCCCAGCTAGTTGGGAGACTGAGGTGGGAGGATCATTTGAGCCTGGCAGGCACAGGTTACAGTGAGCTGAGACTGCACCACTGCACTCCAGCCTGGAGTTCTGGAAATAAACAGTGGTGATGTTTACACAACACTGTGAATGTTTTGAATACCCTTAATTGTACACTTAAATAGAGTAAAAATGGGCCAGGCATGGTGGCTCATGCCTGTAATTTCAACACTTTGCAAGGCTGAGGTGGGAGGATCACTTGAGGCCAGGAGTTCCAGACCAGCCTAGGCAACATAGCAAGACCCTGTTTCTATAAAAAATTAAAAAATTAGCCGGATGTGTGGTGACACATGCCTGTAGTCTCAGCTACTCAGGAGGCTGAGGCGGGAGGATTGCTTGAGGCCAAGAGTTTAAGGCTGCAGTGAGCTATGATTACACCACTGCAGTTCAGCTTGGGTGACACAGCGAGACTTTGTCTCTAAATAAATAGCAGAAATGGAAATTTTATGTTAAGTGTATTTTACCACCACCACCACCACCACAACAAAGCAAAGCCAAGGCCCAAGGAAGTCCTCTTTAGCAGAGAGCTGAGATGGAGAAAAGGGTTCTGAACCACAGCTGTCTGCTGAAGGAAGCTGTCCAAAGGCCAGTGAAGTCTCTCCTGAGGGTGCCTGGGCTGTGCATCAGGAGTGAAGGTTGAGGGTCACCTTAGGTGTGAGAAGGAGCAACTGGGAGAGTGGCGCTGATGCTTCCCCCCGGGTTAGGAGGCATTTGGATCACAGAGCGATGCCTGTTCATTCCTGCTTGCAAGGGAGCAGATCTCTCGACACCCGATGGGCCTCTATTCCGTTCCGGCAGCTGTCCGTGTCAGGAGCGCTGGGCTTGCTCCTCCCCACGGGAGCCATCACAGAGGCCTCGGGCAGTCTGCATAGACAACTGCCTGGCAGGTGACCAGGAGGGGATGCATGAGCAGATGCAGGTAGCACTTGCAGTCCCCCTAGCTGTGCCCTCAGCACCTGCTGTCTAGGAGGCAGAAGCCTTGTTCTCGGCCTTGCAGGTGACCCCAGTGTCTCTGAATTCGGCCCCATATGTGTAGGAGGGGAGTGATTGCATCTGAAGATGGGAGTCTGGTTGGGGGTTTGGGAAGCTCCCATCACCCCTCAAGAGTCCACTGACCAGCCCAGCTCACACCAGGTGGGCCTTGGCATTGGAGGCCACGGCTCAACTCTGCAGTTCCCTCTGGGCAGCATTTCCAGGGACTCGTAGGTCAGCATGGTCATCAAGGACAGGTGGTGAGAGCAGCTCCTCATTGTCCTGGTGACCCCAATGGTTCATTTTCTGGTGTCTCTGTGGTGAGCTCCTGTTACATCAAGCGAGTGGAAACCACCGAGGACCAACAGCCCTGGAAATACACGGAGAATAAATATAGGATGAGTGGGCTTTGTGAGGGCTGTTTTCTGTGACTTAGCAAGGAAAGCCTAGAGGGGAAGGTAAAACTGCTTCTTCCCAGGGAAGCCAGAAGCCTGAGAACTTAAAAGGGAAGGAGAACTTAATGTATTTCAAAAATGTAACCCTCATGAATTAGCAACAGTTTTATAAAGAAAGAGCTTTCTGAGCTTTTAGAATCTGTTCTGATTCATCTGTGCCCTCACAAACTTTACCCTATTTTTATGAGTCATCTTGCGAACAGCCTCAAAGGTGCATCAGAATGACAACAGAAACCAGAAGAGTTATTAGGGCACTAAGTATCAGGAGATCTGGGGCCATATATCTTTAGCGGGCAGTGTTTACTGCCCAGGATGTCTCAGACATCACAATTTTCCGGAAATGATTTAGGTAATTGGAGTTTTCCTTCCCAAGACAAGGCATTTTAGGGAATAACGTCCCATATCTGTGGCGTTTGCGTCATGTATTCACTGTATTCATAGACTGCTTTAGGTACTTAGAGAGCAAAATATATCAATCCTGCGTTGCTGTATTAACATGCCTTTGTTTGCTCCACTGGAGATGAAATTCTACTGCAGGTGTTTCCAAAGTTTCCGTATGACCCATCATTTAACGAAGCAACAGCAGTCAGATCCATTACAAAGACAGACATGAGAAAAGGCAAGTGTATGTCATTAACATAATAAGTGCACACATTTCTATAGGCCTATGTGTTGTCTTAAATGTGCTATACTATCATACTAGCAGTCTTTAAACCAACTACTGGTGGGGCAAAGCCAAATTGAGATATGAAGGAAACAACTGTCTGAAATCCTCTCTATAACCTTCCACTCACTATGGAATCTGTGCTCCAAAGTGTGAATATCCCTGTATTTTGGGGTGATCCTTGATGTGCAGTGTTAGGCAGGTTCTGCCACCCTGGAGGCATTCAGAGGACAGAAACCTGATCTGCAAGTGGGGTTCCCCACTCCCGACAACAGGAGCCCCCAGCAGCATCCTAACTTTCAACCCAACACACGAATCCTTCTAAGTGCACAACGTGGTTTGAGAGAATTAGTGCAGTCATTAATACCCCATTCAGTGGATGATAAAACAAGACCAAAAAATGACTTACCTTAAGCACACCCATAGAAATGACACATGTGAAGAACACACTGTTTCCCCAAAGCAGCTTCATATTATGGGAAAAATTTAGCACTTTGGGAATTAAGATAGGTATTTGCTCACAGTAATAAGGATAGAATAGTGTATTGGAAATCTGCCAGCCGTGGGTACAAGTGCCCCAGGCAGGGAGGGGGAATGGGCACTGTGTTGGTATTCTGCAGACAGATGTTTGCACCCCAATTCCTGAGGGTAGTTTCCCTGAGGGTAGCCCAGGACAACTGCCTGGGCACCTCTGCAATCGGCAGTGAGGCGGCACCACTGTCTACATCAAGGCATTCACTTTCAAACACACATTTTGCTCACACAAGTTGAGTTCTATATTAGCATTTCAACTTAAAAATGGAAAACAAGCCAGGCGCGGTGGCTCACACCTGTAATCCCAGCACTTTGGGAGGCCGAGGTGGGCAGATCACTTGAGGTCAGGAGTTCGAGACCAGCCTGACCAACATGGCGAAACCCTGTCTCTACTAAAAATACAAAAAAATTAGCCAGCCATGGTGGCTCATGCCTGTAGTCCCAGCTACTTGGGAGGCTGAGACATGAGCATCACTTGGACCTGGGAGGCGGAGGTTGCCGTGAGCCGAGATCTTGCCACTGCACTCCAGCCTGGGTGACTGCGAGACTCTGTCTCAAAAGACAAAAAAAAACCACAAAAAAACCAAAAAATGGAATACAAAATATGGGCCCAAGGTGCTTGCAAATGTGTACTGATGAATACCCTTTTTCTTATTGTTTTTTATTCATGTGTCTTATCAAAGGAACCAGCATTGCTTGGAATTCTCCTAAACCAGAATATTTCCTTGGCAGTGTGGACAAAATTCCTGATAAAGGTAAATGCAAATGCATAAAATTGGAATTGGGGGTTGGTAAGTCATTGTTCTTTTTCCTCTTTTTTTTTTTTGAGACGGAGTCTCACTCTGTTGCCCAGGCTGGAGTACAGCGGTGCAGTCTCGGCTCACTGCAAACTCTGCCTCCCAGGTTCACGCCATTCTCCTGCCTCAGCCTCCCAAGTAGCTGTGACTATGGGGGCCCGCTACCACGCCTGGCTAATTTTTTGTATTTTTTAGTAGAGACAGGGTTTCACCGTGTTAGCCAGTATGGTCTCGATCTCCTGACCTCGTGATCCACCTGCCTTGGCCTCCCAAAGTGCTGGGATGACAGGTGTGAGCCACCGGGCCTGGCCCCTCCTTTTCCTTTTACCTGACCTGAGTTCAGAGCTGAGGGTCTGGCAGATGGTGCTCAGACTCTCTTGTAGAGAGTACAAGAGAGTACTTGTTTTTTTTTTTTTGTTTTTTTTTTTGAGACAGAGTCTCACTCTGTTGCCCAGGCTGGAGTACAGTGGCACCATCTCAGCTCACTGCAAACTCTGTCTCCTGGGTTCAAGCAGTTCTCTGCCTCAGCCTCCCAAGTAGCTGGGACTACAGACGCACACCACCACACCCAGCTAATTTTTGTATTTTTAGTAGAGACGGGGTTTCACCATGTTGGCCAGGCAGGTCTTGAACTCCTGACCTCGTGATCCGCCTGCCTCGGCCTCCCAAAGTGCTGGGATTACAGGTGTGAGCCACCGCACCTGGCCACAAGAGAGTACTTGTACTTGGCTGTACAACGTGTGTGCTTCACCCTGAATTATGAAGAGTTCCCTAATCAATGGTAAGGTTTAGGATACCCATGGTTTCCCCAAATCCCACCCTGTGCGAGTCTGCTTCTGTGATATGTACAGCATGGAGGAGCAGATCAGAATGTTTATTCTCTGCAGGCAGACGGATGCCAGCCAGGAGGGACAGAGAGCTAGCCGCAGACACCTGGTGCCTCCTCCCAAACTGACCTGGGCAGGTCCTTCCCCCGCTGGGGTGGTGGGGCTGGGCAGTGGCTGAGCACATTCCTGAGGTGCTGCCCCGGAGGAATTCTCCCCTCCTCCTCAGGAGTGTGGGAAAGCGCTGCCTCCAGCTAGGAGCAGAGGCTCATCTGAGCTATCTGATCATGCTGGAGGGAGATTGGCTCCACAGACAGGATGAGCAGCTAGAATCCATGAAGCATTTCTCCCCTAGAAAGACTTAAAAGATTTAAAAGAAAAAAACCAGGCCAAATAGGTCACTGTCCAAGCTGGTAAATATGTGGTCTTTCCTGGGTGCAGGATTATGAACCTGGCCAGGAGTTCCCGGGCCGCACCATGCATCAGCCGGAGGTCAGGGTGGGGAATGGGAAGAGCTTATTAAAAATCCTTATTCCTGGCTGGGTGATGTAGCTCCCCTGTAGTCAGGAGTTCAAGACCAGCTACTCAGGAGGCTGAGGCAGGAGAATCGCTTGAACCCAGGAGGCAGAGGTTGCAGCGAGCTGAGATCGCGCCACTGCACTCCAGCCTGGGCAACAAGAGCGAAACTCCGTGCTGGGATTACAGGCATGAGCCACCGCGCCTGAAAATAGTGTGTTTTAATGTCTTGTCGGACTAGTTCCCCTTTTGCAGTTTTTGTTTTTTCATTGTTTTCCTGGCTATTTTTGCATGTTTGTTTTTCCATGTGAACTTTAACATCAACTTGTCTAACTTCATCAAAAGGCTATGGTATTCTGATTGGCATTGCATCAAATTTATACTACAATATTCACTGTGGGAAAACAGATGTTAGGTCATCCTATGCTAGAAATGGGAATGCCTTTCCAGTTCTTCAAGTTTATTTTCACTGTGTGTTAAAGTTTTCCTTACATAGATTTTTACATGTATCTTCTTAAGTTTATTCCTAAGTCACTTAATTTTCTGTGTTGCTATTGTAAGAGAGGGGGTTTCTCTATCATTATACTCTCTACCTACTTAATGTTTGGGTATAGGAAGGCTTGATTTTTATATATTAATTTTATGTCCTATTGCCTTGTTCAATTCTACGTATACTGTTATAGAGATAGTTTTACTTCTTTTTTTTTTTTTTTTTTTTGAGATGGAGTCTCACACTGTTGCCCAGGCTGGAGTGCAGTGGCATGATCTCAGCTCACTGCAACCTCCTCCTCCCAGGTTCAAGTGATCCTCCTGCCTCAGCCTCCCAAGTAGCTGGGACTACAAGCACATGCCACCATGCCCAGTTAATTTTTGAATTTTTATTAGAGACAGGGTTTCACCATGTTGGCCAGGCTGGCCTCCAACTCCTGACCTCAGGTGATCTGCCCGCCTTGGCCTCCCAAAGTGCTGGGATTACAGGCATGAGCCACCATGCCCAGCCAGTTTTACATCTTTACCTATTGTTATGCCTCTACCTGATTTATTTATCATGTTTAATTGCATTGCTAATACCTCTAGGATAATCTTGAATGGTTGCTGGAGATACAGTGGGCATCCTGCTTTGTTCTTGCTCTTGGAGAAATGCCTCTTGAGTTTCCTGATTAAGAGTCTGGTTATAGGACTAATATGAATGAGAGATTATCTGTATATCTAGCCTTCCATCTACACACATACATGTAAATATGTATGCATACATATATTTATACTGAGAATGAGAATATATCTGTCCAAAAGATACTTTTTGGGTATTTTTTTCTGTTTCTGTGAGTTGTGTTACTTTAGATATCTCATGTAAGTTGAATCATACAGTATTTGTCTTTTTGTGGTTGGTTTAGTTCATGTAGTATAATGTTCTCAAGGTTAATGCATGTTGTAGCATATGACAGAATTTCCTTTCTTTTTAAGGCTGAATAATATTCTATTGTATATATATACCATCTTTTCTTTATCCATTTATCTGTTGTTGGACACTTGGGTTGCTCTCACATCTTGGCTATTGTAAATAATGCTGCAATGAATATAGGTATGCAAATATCTCCAAGATCCTGTTTTCAATTCTTTAGGATATGTATCCAGAAGTGGGATTGTGGGGTCATATGGTAAATCTATCTTTAATTTTTTGAGGAACCTCCATATTGTTTCCATAGCAGCTACACTGTTTTACAATCCCACCAATATGTGCAAGAGTTCCCATTTCTTCACATCCTTGTTAACATTTGTTATTACATATTTAAAAAATCAAGAATGGGTGCTGAATTTTTGGAACTAATCATATGATTCTTTTCCTTAAGTCTATTAAGATTATATATATGATAATAATGAATTTCCTAATATCAAACCAACCTTACATTCCTAGAATAAATTCTACTTGGTCATAGTGAGGCTTGGAGAGTCCAGTCACTGCTCAGGAATCTTGGGCCTGGGCCCAGCTTTTTCTCTGCTTCAGCACATCTGTGCTGTCACTCAGAGTGGCAGGGGATTGGAAGGAGCCTTGGGGTTCCTTTAGCCACCAAGAAAGCAGCAGGTCTTTGTATAGATATGTAGACTGAGCCATGATTTATAACTTTTAATTATTGATACATATGATAGGTGTTTCTCCATTTGTATTCTTTTTCAATTTTTAAAAATTATTATACAATACACATAATATGAAGTTTACCATCTTAACCATTTTTAAGGGCACAGTTCAGTGGTATTAAATACATTCATAATGTTGTGCAACCATCACCAGCATTCATCTCCAGAACTCTTTTCATCTTATAAAACCAAAACTCTATACTCATTAAATAATAACCATCCATTCCTCCATCTCAGCATCCCCTGGCAACCACCGTTCTACTTTCTGTATGATTTTGACTATAAATATCTCACGTAAGTGCAATCATACAGTATTTTGTTACTGACATTTCATTTTGCATAATGTCCTCAAGGTTCATCCATGTTGTGGCATATTTCAAAATGTCCTTTCTTTCTTTCTTTCTTTTTTTTTTTTTTGAGACAGAGCCTCACTCTATCGCCCAGGCTGCAGTGGCGCGATCTTGGCTCACTGCAACCTCCTCCTCCTGGGTTCATGCCATTCTCCTGTCTCAGTCTCCCCAGTAGCTGGGACTACAGGGACTACAGGCACCCGCCACCACGCCCGGCTAATTTTTTTTTTTTTTTTTTGTATTTTTAATAGAGATGGGGTTTCACTGTGTTAGCCAGGATGGTCTCGATCTCCTGACCTCATGATCCGCCCGCCTCGGCCTCCCAAAGTGCTGGGATTACAGGCGTGAACCACCATGCCCGGCCCAGAATGTCCTTTCTTTTCGAAGCGGAGTAATATTCCATTGTATGTATCTACCATGTTTTGTTTACTTACTTATCCCTTGATGGATATTTGGGTTGTTTCCACATTTTAGCCTTGTGAATAATCCTGTTATGAACGTGGATGTACAAATAATTCTTTGAGACCCTGCTTTCAGGTATTTTGGGTATATACTCAGAAGTGAGATTGCTGGATGATATGATTTTGGTTTTAATTTTCTGAGGAAACGCCATGCTGTTTCCCATCATGGCGGTACCATTTGCATTCCTACCAACAGCACACAAGGGTTCCAGTTTCTCCACATCCTCGCCAATTCCCTAATGATTAGTGATGTTGAGCATCTTTTCAAGTACTATTGGCCATTTGTATATCTTCTTTGGAAAAATATCTATTCAAGTTCTTTGCCCATTTTTGAATCAGTTGTTTGTATTTTTGTATATTGTTGGGTGTCAGGAGTTCTCTCTATAGTCTGAGTATCATTCCCTTATCAGATAAACAATTTGCAAATGTTTTTTCCCATCCTGGGTGGGGTACCTTTTTATTCTGTTGACACTGTCTTTTGATGCGCAAAATTTTAAAATTTGCATACAGTCCAATTTGTCTGTTTTTTCTTTGGTGGCCTGTGCCTTTGGTATCAAACCCAAGAAATAATTTCCAAATCCAATGTCATGAAGTTTCTGCTCTATGTTTTTCTCTAAACGTTTTTATAGTTTTAGGTATTACATTTAGGTCTTTGGTCCATTGTGAGTTAATTTTTGTTTATGGTGTTGGATAAGGCTCTAACTTTATTCTTTCGCATATGATATCCTGTTTTCCTAGTACCATTTGTTAACCTATTAAAATTCTTGTGCTGGTTTTTTGCAAATGTTAGGTGTGGTCTGCCCAGGAATGTATATTACAGTGCCAAGATACCTCAGCCCCTGAATAATGTATCTTCACCCTTGAATAAAAAATGCCCCTGAATAATTTACCTTCACCCCTGAATAATCATTGTTTAAGTAAAATTAAATGATATGCTTGAGGAATAGAAAGCCTACTATCTAGCTTGATCTTTTGATTTCTAAAACTGTTTCTTCAGTCAATTGCTTTAACATAATTTTACTTTCAAATCTTTATTTTTCCTTCAGGAGAAGCCAGGACAACATTTTTTCTTTTATTTTCTTTCTTTTCTTTTCTTTTCTTTTCTTTTTCTTTGAGATGGAATCTCACTCTGTCATCCAGGCTGGAGTGCGGTGGCGCAATCTTGGCTCATTGCAACCTCCACCTCCCAAATTCAAGCAATTCTCCTGTCTCAGCCTCCTGAGTAGCTGGGACTACAGGCACGCACCACCATGCCCGGCAGTCTTGCCTAGCAAGACAGGTTTAGCAGGGTAGTTCTGGCTCAGAGTCCCCCATGAGGTTGCAGTCAAGATTCTTCCAGATTCATTCTCTCACTCAAGACCTAACTACTGATCTGTCCTACCCAGTGGGAAGCACTGTGCTGGAAGCTAGAGAGCTCAGTGAGGCATTCTTGTCCTCCAAGAGCTCACAGCTCTTAGGAGAGTCAATCTAATCGGTAAATAACTATTAGATATAAACATGCTAACATTGAAGGTCTTTAAAAAGTGCTTACGTTGTAATCGCACGGAGTTCTGGGAGAACAAGAGGCTGATCTCCTTGATAGGGTTTTTCCAAGTAGGAAGAGTGAGGGAAGAAGAGGGCTGAGAAGAACTGTAGGCAGTGACAAAGCTCACGTCTGCCAGCTGAGGGGGCTGATCAGATCCATCTTCAGAGGGTGGGAGCTGCTCTCAGGCTACTCTGCAGGGACAGTAAATTCCAGACCACACTGTCTGCACCTCCTCCTTGGCAGTAGTGACCATTCAAAAAAAAAAGAAAAAAAGGCTGGGTGTGGTGGCTCACGCCTGTAATCCCAGCACTTGGGAGGCCGAGGCAGGTGGATCACCTGAGGTCAGGAGTTCGAGATTAGCCTGGCCAACATGGTGAAACCTCATCTCTACTAAAAATACAAATATTAGCTGGGTGTGCTGGCGTATCCCTGTAATCCCAGCTACTTGGGAGGCTGAGGCAGGAAAATTGCTTGAACCCAGGAGGTGGAGGTTGCGGTGAGCCGAGATGGGGCCACTACACTCCAGCCTGGGGGACAGAGACTCCGTCTCAAAAACAAAAAACAAAAAACAAAAAAACCAATGGTCGAAAACATCTCGATAGGAGGAGGAGTGGGGAAATGACCATTCTGGGAAGTGAAGTGTCTTTTAAAAGGTGTGCCCAGGTCTGTGGACAGCAGCTGTAGCTACTGATGATCATAGGTCCACTGAATGGAACATAGCATCAGTCCTAGCAATAACATGCTATTAACATGTAATCAAAGGCTCACGTCAATGTTAGAGTCTCCAAAACATAGAGAATCATGAAGATGAAAGACTTCAACTTTTTCTTGAGCACAAAGTCAGAGTTTCTTGGTTCTGCACTCCTTTAAGAAGGTTTTTACCAAGCCCAGCACATGCTTGATTGGCAGCTTGGGTTGAGCCTACACCATGGAAGGACGGGAGAATTGCTCTTGTAATGGGTGGCTGCTCCTGTCATAGTTAGTAGTTCTAAAGTTGGAAAGAAATCTGGAAATGAAACTGTGTTGGTCAAAAATTTGATAATTGTGCTTATTTTTTCCCACAAAAAAATAATCCAAGAAATGATCAAACACAAACCATCAAACATAAAAGACGCCTTCAGATTCTTCAAAGAACCTTAGGTAAATGAAAACTTACGTCCATACTGACGATAAGAATAGGCAGTGGCTCTTGCCTCTGGTAGAGAAAGAGAGTGAAAATGTGTTCCCGTGTCAGGTCTACCATTGCTGCAGCTCTGTGGAAGACCAAGCCAAGCGCGCCCCCTGGTGGATAACTCCATGCTCGCCAGGGCTTTCTGTCTGTGGCTATTAATCTGAGTCGGATTTGACATGTTGCATTTCAAAAGTCAAGTTAATTATCAGTCTTATTAAATTGGGAGTTTTCTCTCTTTTCTAAGCCAAGTTGAATAAGGAACAAATTTCTCTCTTTTTTCCAGGAATACCTAGAACTTCATGAGACTGTTATCAGACACCCACATGATGGTCTTAATCATATTGTGATAATTTTCTGTTATTTTATTTTATTGTTTAATTTTATTATTCTTTTGAGACAGGGTCTCGCTCTGTTACCTGGGCTGGAGTGCAGAGGTGTGATTATAGCTCTCTGCAGCCTTGATCTCCTGAGTTCAAGCCATCTGCCTACCTCAGCCTTTCTAGTAGCTGGGACTATAGGTGTGCGCCACCATGCCTGGCTAATTTTTTTTTTTTTATTTTTAGTAGAGATGAAGTCTTGCTATGTTGCCCAGGCTGGTCGCAAACTCTTATTGTGACAGTTCTCTATCTCTCTGTGAACAAGGCCAAGGAAGATTTACCAAACCCATCCAAAGCTGCCCCGCCCCCACTTCCAGCTCTTGGAGGTCTCCCATCTGGAGCTGGGGGCTCCAGCCTGCTTTGAAGTCTTCCGGGGTGTGAGATTCATTACTTCTCATCCTTTCCCATTCCCTCTTTGATAGCTCACCTTCTAAATGCTAAACAGTCCAAACAGATTTCCCTGGAGCGCCTACCCATTGGTTCTAGTTTGTTCCCCAGAGCTTCTCAAAACATCTCTCAGCCTCTTCCCAGGCCATCCTGCATCTGGCAAAGATAGGCAGGCCATGCTGGCCTCCCGATTTTCTCCAAGCTAAACTCAGGCCCTTTGACAGGTCCCATATGCAAACGAGTCAGGCACCAAAGGGCAGAGCTAGGATGCAAATATTTCTCATTTTCGACTGTCTTCTTTCTATTAAACTATTCTGCAATCCCTCTACTGATACCTGAATATTTCAGTGTGGTTAATTTTCCTATCTTGTCCTCGCAACTCAAGAAAATTTTTATAGTACTTCGTGTTTTAAAAATTATTTTCATGAACATTGTACAATCTGTGAAGTAGGTCTCATTATCTCTATTTTATGCAAGTGGAGAAGTAGGCTGGGGCTTAGAGAGGTTCTCTAAGTGTGGTCCTCTACCCACAGAAGCAGCGTCTTTCAGGATCTGTGAGACATACGCATTCCCAGGCCTACCCCAGACCTATGGAATCAGAAACTCTGGGGTGGGGCTTAGGAATCTGTGTTTTCATAAGCCCTCCCAGTGTGATTCAGATGCACGCTCGAGTGTAAGAAATGCTGCCTCAGCTATGGGTGGGTTGCCCAGGAATTTGTTAGATTTTTTAAAAAGTAAACAAAAACAATAAAACACCAAAACACTGAGGTTCTGTAGGACATTTAGACTTTTCCCCCAAGTCCTCCCTAACTCCTCACTTTGAGTCTAGAAGAAGCTACTTTTATCATAAACGCTGAACTAATCACATGCCATGGTTGTTTGTAGATGAACACATTTTATCTTTTGTAGATCACCTTTCAGAGGAGAAGAATTTTAAAGAATCCTGTCTGTTCGACAGGGATTTAAGAGAGCAGTTAACTACTATAGATAAAGAAACACTTCAAGGAGCAGCTAAACCAGGTGGGAATCTATATGGCCTATAAACTAAGTATGATGCTTAAATACGGACAACTTCTGAATGTGTCTTTTGCCTTTCATGGTATTTTAACTGACATCTTTAATTCACCCGCTAAAGTGAATTAAATCTGCAGTGAATACAACCTGCAGTTAAAATTTATGAATTAAACCAACTCCAGAGGCCGGGCACGGTGGCTCACGCCTGTAATCCCAGCA
Source organism: Homo sapiens (assembly GCF_000001405.40). Taxonomy (NCBI): domain Eukaryota; kingdom Metazoa; phylum Chordata; class Mammalia; order Primates; family Hominidae; genus Homo; species Homo sapiens. The sequence goes on from NW_025791765.1 coordinate 625,381, forward strand.
CTTTAGGAGGTCAAGGTGGGCGGATCACCTGAGGCCAGGAGTTAGAGACTACCCTGGCCAACATGGTAAAACCCCGTCTCTACTAAAAATACAAAAGAAAAAATTAGCTGGGCATGGTGGCGGGTGCCTGTAATCGCAGCTACTCGGGAGGCTGAGGCAGTTCAAGAATCACTTGAACCCAGTAGGGGGAGGCTGCAGTGAGCTGAGATTGCACCATTGCACTCCAGCCTGGGCAACAAGAGCGAGACTCAATCTAAAAAAATAAATAAATAAATAAAAACCCAACTCCGGGAATTTCACCACTCTTCCAAAAAGATGCTACTTTTATATTGTTTCTATACAGCCAGGGCTTCACCCTCGCTCATCCCTGAGCCCAGACCTGTTTAGAGTGGGCAGAAGCTCACCCATGCTGGTACCAAGTGCAGTACACCCCTCCACACTGCCACTCCCTGTCAAAATTATACCTGGTTGTCACTTCCTAATGCTTAGAAATTAAATGCTGAATTATTCTAGCAGAGCCTTAGAGCTGCTGGATACGCTGCCTCTTGGCATAGCATAGCTGAAGGTAGGAGGCTGGACATGCCCTGTTTTCTCCCCATCACCCAAGAAGACCCTTGCTCAGCACTCTGCTGTCTACATAACCGGCTGCCCTGGGCAGCTCTCCACACGAAACCAGCCGATACCTGGGATCATACCTCCATGCCTGATTTCCCTGATGTCTTTTTCTTTTTTGGTCACATTATAAATGGGGTGACAGAAGCTCTAGGAGACACTAATGTCGGCTGAGATCTCCTTCCTTTGAGATCTAGCTAAGACTGCCGCGTTTTCCCCAGCCTGTGCTCAGTGGTATTCCGTCCACTCTCACAATTTCTGTAAGTCCTCAGAGGGGCTCAGGAGCTCAGGATCATCTGTGGCCTTGTGTTTGCCTCGTGCTGGTGCAGACATGAAATCTCCCAAACCTACACACACGAGGCAGATTGTGTATGCAGTACAACTTTCTGAGGCCAGGGGGCAGAGGAGGGGAAGCAGAGAAGAGGTTATATCACTGCCCTGTGAAAAGCTGCAGAGTGTTCGCCTCCATTGTTCTTAAAATCCTTTGCAGTAGGATTTCTCAACCTCCTCTAGTGCCCCTGCTTCCTCCTACCCATCTGAGCTCTCCTCTGTTCTTCTCTTTACCTCCTACAAATTGTCTGTGGAACTTTCTTTCTGGCTGCTTTGTTGCATGCCAGCCCGTATCCTCAGTGTCTCATCTCCACCCCCCAAAATCATCCCATCTTATCGCCAAATAGCAGATGAATGCATATGAATGCATTTCCCCAAACAGCCAGTTCCTTCCCAAGAGGACTTCTGGAACCAGTGGCTAAGATGCCAAGGTTTTTTGTTTTTTTTTTTGAGATGGAGTCTCACTCTTTTGCCCAGGCTGGAGTGCAGTGGTGCGATCTCAGCTCACGCTCACGGCAACCTCCGCCTCCCGGGTTCACGCCATTCTCCTGCCTCAGCCTCCCAAGTAGCTGGGACTACAGGCGCCCGCCACCACGCCCGGCTAATTTTTTTTGTATTTTTAGTAGAGACGGGGTTTCACCGTCTTAGCCAGGATGGTCTCGATCTCCTGACCTCGTGATCCGCCCGCCTCAGCCTCCCAAAGTGCTGGGATTACAGGCGTGAGCCACCGCGCCCGGCCGAGATGCCAAGGTTTCTATTCTGTTATGAATGGAATGAACAGGTGTCCCTTGCAGGCTTAGTCCTGGTTGTGGGTAGCCCGGTGGGTATCTCTGTTCACTCTGCGCTGTGTCTTCTCATTTAGATGCTCACTTTAGGACTATGCCCTGCGGGCAGCTTCTGCACTTCCTGCAGAGGAACACCATCATCGCCGCCGTCTCAGGGGTGGCCATCCTCATGGCCATCGTGCTGTTGCTGCTTGGGTTGGCCTCATACATCAGGAAGAAACAGCCATCGTGCGTGGTGCTGGCATAACCTTCCTTCCAAGAACCCGCGGGTGTTAGAACTCACGCTGCCCTCAGGGCTTCCTGCTGATCTGGTTTACGAGGAGGGCAGAAGCTGCAAGCCTGGTTGTGCTTCAGCATCCCCTGGCCTGCTCTGTCAAAGCACACAGGACCTGGGCCATGGGTTTTCGGCACAGCCTGGGTGATTCTGATGCACAGCCGGGTTTGGGGATCCCTGGGTGGGCCAGGGTTGCCTCTCAAGGCCACTACGGTTAGGCCAGACCTGTCCCCATATTGAGGGCTCTGGCTGAAAGATTGGTAAATAGGAATATGGATTTACAAAAGAAAGGAAAAATACAAATCTAAGAGGGTGAGGAGGGCTGAAGCCACGAAGGAGAGTGAGAGCAGGGCTGATATTCAGCTCCTTCACATTGGCACAGCTGTCCTGCTTGTTAGAATACTGAAAGCCTTCCCCGAGCTTCCCACTGACCTCCTGATCTTCTCCGTGATCCTGCAAATGAAGGATTAGTGCCTGGCACAGCCGTGGCCCTCCAAGGCTCTGCTTCAGTGGTGGTCATTTTGACTGGTCAGTGCCTGTCTACACCCCCGTCTACACCAGTTGTTAAATATTTTGGTTAGGCCTCTAGATGAGGGGGCTCAGGCACAGAGGCACTCACCATGAGCAGGCGCTAGGAAGCAAATGGTTTGCACGATGACGTGTATGCATAGCTGCATTTTGAAATTACGTGCTTCTTGCTGCGTCCCCAGGGACATGTATTCCTGACCACAGAAGGAAGAGCAGCTCCCCACAGCCCTTCAGTCCTGCCTGACACTGCACTGAATGCTCAGCTTGCCCCTAGAGCAATGGGGTGGAGGTGTGTGTTGAGGGGAAGTGTCCATCCCCACCCCTACCCACCCTCTGACTCCAGAGGTAGCAGTGTTTGAATTTCCCCACAAGAGTGGCATTGCTTTCTCTCCATGCCAAGGCTCCTGGAACTGGTGACTTATTCAGGCCACCTCCCCCAACCCCCACCTCCAGCATCCTCTTCCTACCAAGGCTCATCCATTGGACCTGCCATTTTCCCTCCATGCCCCTTGAGATGCCAGCAGAAGTGGTCAGAACTGTGGCCCCTCCCATAGGGACCAGTCAAAGTTGTGGGTGGCCTGAGTTAGTTAAGAGAAACTGGGGGGAAGAGAGTATCCCAGAGGCTCTGTGCTGCCCAGAGGCAAAAAGAATTTCACAGATGACAAACCTTACTGATGGGAAGCAGAATCCTCACGCTGGGAAGCGTCAGCCTCCACCACTGCCCAGCGAGTAGACAGCAGGACTCCTGTGCGCTGAGCTGAGCACTGTGGTTTTTGTTATTTTGTTTTAGATCTCCTCTGGCAAACACGACATATAATATTTTTATAATGGATGGAAAGACATGGTGGCACAATTCTGAAGAAAAAAATTTCACAAAACTTGCAAAAAAACAGAAACAGTTGAAGAGCAGCTCCTGTGTCTAAGCCAGGTCGTGGGGCCGTCAAACCAGGACTTGAAACCACAATGCGAGGACATTCTCCATCTGCGCACCACAGGGAGGCAATTCCATTTCTGCCCGGGAGGTGTATTCTACAAAAACGTCTGCTTCCCATCCCAATTTGAATGGACCAAGAAAAACTGCTTTACCATAGGACACTTGTGGCAATATGGCACCGATGGCTGGCGTCGGTGAACCCGACAGACTATGGATTTATCATTTAATAAAGCATTGATTCATTTTTTCAGTCATTCATTGAACAGATATTAATAGACCACCTCACATGCTGACAATATCAAAATACAATGAGGAAACTAACAGTGACCCAGGCATGCATTCTTCCCCGAGCAAGATCACAGTCCATGGTGTGAGCACAACCATACTAAATAGCTTTTATGGGAGGTGGGAGTACAGAAAGTATTATATCTGCAAAGAAACTGCTAAGAATTGTGGGAGCGCCCCAGGAGGTGATTTCCTGCTTGCGTGACCAGCACAAAGAAATGGGGTAATTGAGAGTGTCATGAAGTGGGGTTATTTATTTATTGAGTCGGAGTCTTGCTCTGTCACCCATGCTGGAGTGCAGTGGCGTGATCTCAGCTCACTGCAACCTCCGCCTCCCGGGTTCAAGCGATTCTCCTGCCTCAGCCTCCCGAGTAGCTGGGATTATAGGTGCGTGCCACCACACCCAGCTAATTTTTGTATTTTTAGTAGAGATGGAGTTTCACCATGTTGGCCAGGCTGCTCTCAAACTCCTGACCTCAGGTGATCCCCCCGCCTTGGCCTCTCAAAGTGCTGGGATTATAGGCATGAGCCACCATGCCCGGCCCATAGAAGTTTTCAGTTCATTTATGCACAGTTTAAGCTGAGAATGTGAAAGGCTAAACTCATCCCTTTCTTTCCCCACTTTCTCCAGCAACCAGCCAATATCATACTCCTCAGTTTAATTAAAATGTTCTCAGATATCATCAAACACGTGGGCACCCAGAACCTTGCCTTTTATATGTGTTTGATTGAGAGTATCCAATGGTAATATTTTGTATATCTCTATTGCCACATCATGCCATGGAGTACCTAAATGCCCTCTTGGCCACTGGAAATAGATTTAAGATTCTGTTCCTCTCTTCTAGTACCAAAATTTGGATGAGTCAGGGTCCCATGAGAGAAACAGAACTAGTAGGAGGATATATAGAGTAGTAAGAGATTTTTTTAACTTTTAATTTTTGTGGGTACATAGTAGGGGTATGTATTTATGGGGTACACGAGATATTTTGATACAGGCATGCCATGCATAATAATCACGTGAGGGTGAATGGAGTATCCAAAACCTGGTGCATTTATCCTTCATGTTATAAACAATCCAATTATGTTCTTTTAGTTATTTTTAAGGTGCAATTAAATTACTATTGACTGTGGTCCCCCTACTGTGCTATCAAATACTAGGTCTTATTCATTCTTTTATTTTTTGTACCTATTAACCATCCTTACATCTCCCCCACCCCCACTACTCTTCCCAGCCTCTGGTAACCACCCTTCTACTCTCTATCTCCATGAATTCAATTGTTTTAATTCTTAGCTCTCAGAAATGATGAGCGCATGCAAAGTTTGTCTTTCTGTGCCTGGCTTATTTCACTCAACATAATGACTTCCAGTTCCATCTATGTTGGTGCAAATGACCATTTTTTGAATGGCTGAATAGTACTCCATTGTGTAAATGTACCACATTTCCTCATCCATTCATCTGTTGATAGACTGTTGTTAGGTTGTTTCCAGATCTTGGCTATTGTGAATAGTGCTGCAATAAACATGAGAGTGCAGATATCTCTTTTATACACTGATTTCCCTTCTTTTGAGTATATACACAGCAGTGGGATTGCTGGATTGTATGGTAGCTCTATTTTTAGTTTTTTGAGGAACCTCCAAACTGTTCTCCATAGTGGTTGTACTAACGTACATTCCATACATTAGCAATAATGTATGAGAGTTCCCTTTTCTCCACATCCTCGCCAGCACTTGTTATTGCCTATCTACTGGATATAAGGGACAATTCTTCTCTAGAGCCTCTGAGGGGCCTGCAGCCCTGCTAACACCTCGGTTTCAGACTCTGGCCTCCAGAATGTGACAGAATAAATTTTTGCTGTTTTAAGCCACTCGGTTTGTGGTTGTTATGGCAGCCCTGGGAAATGAATACATGGCCACACAATCTTTTTCTGATACTTTGAGTCTTGAGAGTACGTGAGATTGATTGGGCTGGGCCCAGGGCCACTGCAAGGCATGGGAGAGTGTGTTTAGGGAATCAAGGGATGTGGGTTATGGCCCTGGTGCTTGTGGTCAGCAGGTTTGCAGGTTCCTGGGGGCAACTGTTGCGTCTGAAGGGTTCCTGGCTACCTTCTCCATTCATGGATGGGCTCTGGGAGCTGGGCCTCAGGAAAGGCAGGGGAAGGGGTGGTCAGGAGTAGCTCAGAGGCGGTCCAGCTAGGACCTGAGAGCTTTGGACCTATTTGTGTGGGGAGTGAAGACGACGAGGTGGCCCTGGAAGGCTCTGCTCAGTTCTTTGCCAAGATGGAAAAACAGCCCATCCCTAGAAAAACTCTTTCCACCACATTAGGCCATTTAGTTAAAAATTGCCCAGTTAGTGGTCTTGGGACTTTGGTCCTGCTGTAGCCACAGAAGGCCTGATGTACTGGACAGAGCTGGCTCCCAGGCCCACCCCAGCCCACCTCCCAAATCAGGGGCTTGGAGAACCAAGAGTCGCAGTCCAGATGCTTGTCTCATTCTCAAGGATCCCCCGACTGCTTAGGACATTTGGACAGCAGCTCCTCTAATATAATAACGTCATTTTTTTTTTTTTTTTTTTTTTTTTTTGAGACGGAGTCTTGCTCTGTCACCCAGGCTGGAGTGCAGTGGCAGGATCTCGGCTCACTGCAAGCTCCACCTCCCAGGTTCACGCCATTCTCCTGCCTCAGCCTCCCGAGTAGCGGGGACTACAGGTGCCTGCCACCAAGCCCGGCTAATTTTTTGTATTTTTAGTAGAGACGGGGTTTCACCGTGTTAGCCAGGATGGTCTTGATCTCCTGACCTCGTGATCCACTCACCTCGGCCTCCCAAAGTGCTGGAATTACAGGTGTGAGCCACCCTGCCCGGCCTTTTTTTTTTTTTTTTTTTTTTTTTGAGACTAAGTCTCACTCTGTCGCCCAGGCTGGAGTGCAGTGGCGCGATCTCTGCTCACTGCAATCTCCGCCTCCCAGGTTCAAGCGATTTTCCTGCCTCAGCCTCCTGAGTAGCTGGGATTACAGGCGTCCACCACCATGCCCATTTTTTTCAATGTCATTTGGTTGTAATGGTGATGAGAAAAAAAAACCAAACCTGATTCCTGGCTGGGGCCACTGTCTGTGTGGAGCCTGCCCGTTCTCCCCATGTTTGCGGGGATTTTCTCCGGGAAGTCCGTTTCCTTCTACATCCCAAAGCTATCGGTGCATAGGCGTGTCTACAGTGTCCCAGCGTGAGCGAGCGTGGGTGTGTGTGAGTGTGTCCTGAGAGGGGATGGAGTCCTGGCTGGGGCTCGTTCCCACCTTGCGCTGTCCTGAGCTGCCGGGTTGGGCTCCGGCCCCTGCTACCCTGAACTGTGTAAGTGGAGAAATCATGATCTGACTTATTTTTTAGTAATCATTCTTAAAGGTATGTATAGCTCACAATTATTTTAATGTTTAATATTAACGCATTTGGGGTCCTTATGTAGATGGTTGGTGATGTTTTCGTGACCGGGAATATGCCATAGGAACTTACCTCTTGTCTATAGCAGTTAGCCTATGGGAAAATTGGTTTCCTTACTGCACGTCAAGTTGCAGTCTCCAAGAACCTCTCAGTGAGCTAAGTGAGGACTCACTGCACCCGCAATGCACTTCTGCCTTTCTGGCCCTTGGGAGGCTCAGACCCCTTCCTGTCTATCCCAGCAGCCGCTTCCCTCTGCGCAGAGGAGAGGAGGCATCAGTTAGGCGCTTCCCGAGGAGGGTTACCAAAATCCCCAGATGTGCCTGCAGGGCCCCCTCCTGACCTTCCCGGCCTGGTGCTCAGGGTGTGGGGGTGTGGAGGGGGAGCACTGGGGGGCTGGGGGGAGGGCAGCTGCGGGGTGACGGAATGGGGTGGCAGAGACGAAGGGGTAGAGTAAGATGAGGGAGATGAGGGCCGGGATAGGAGAAGGGAGGAGGGCAGGGACAATGGTGTGGGTGGGGAAGAATAAGGTGGAGAGAGTGGGGAGAATAAGCTGAGGGAGTGGAGTGGGGACAAGGAAGGTAGAGGAATGGGGGGAGGGAAGTGGAGAAGCGGGAACTATGTGGTGGGTGGGAGATTTGAATGGAGGAGGGGGTAGGAGGAGGTGTTAGAAGGAGGAGGGTGAGGGGAGGGAGTACTGAAGTACTGATGGGCCAGGAATGAGCCCCAAGAGGTTGGTTCAGCCCACTTGTTCCAAGAGGGTGGGGAAGAAGAACTGGGTGGGGAATGGGTGGCTGCGTGGAGAGCTGGGGGAGGGGAGAGCCCATTCCTTCCCCAGCATCAGCAGCATCAACAACGGGTGTAACTTACCAACTGGTTTCTGCTCAAGTCAGCACTTACTGGGCACCTCCCCATGCCAGGCACAGTGCCCTGGTGGGCAGGTACACCCCACCATGTGGCCCTCCCAGAGCTCTCCACTGGGGGTTGACCTTGGAGCCTGCCCTGGTATCTGTGCTCCAGCCCCTTCGCTATGAGATGAGCACCACCTTTTCCATTTCTCAGATTGAAGCCAGCGGGGAGGTGGGGAGAGTGGGGCCCTGGTCACCCCGGAGGACCTGCCAGCTGTCCAAAGGTCTCTGAGTGCTTCGCCAGGGCAGGTGCCCCAGGAGAGGAATGCCAGCAACTGGGGTGTGGCCTGTGCCACCTGACATTCGCCTGCCCGGCCCTCACAACGCTGGGAGTTTCCCAGGCATGGTGCTGGGGAGCTGGGTCCAGCTGGGCTTCAATACTTGTCCTGCCTGGACCTTCTCAGAGCTTTGGCTTCCTCTTCTTGGCAATGAGGCTGATAATTTACCCTCTTTACAGAGCCATTGGGTGGTCCGTTCAGCAGCAAACATTTATTGGACACCTGCCGGGTGCCAGGCCCTGTGCTGGGCTGGATGTGGGGTGGCTGTAGGGCAGCAGGTGGCTGGGGTCCTCTGCGCTTGGAAGGAGATGCAGCTGCCCCAGCCTGGGCATACAGCAGGCACAGCAAGCATACCAGATTTTCCTTGAATTCTCAACAGGTTGCACATGCACCCTTGTCCCATCCTCATGGCAACTTCTTGGGACCCCAGCCCTGAGAGGCAGCCCACCCCTCTGCTGGCCTCCTACCTCTACCCTGGGCTTGCATTTGAGGAACAAGCCCTATCAGCGCCTATAGCCTCTGCCAACAGTCCCCGCATGGCCTGTGGGCCCCTGGGAGCTGCCCTGAACTAGCATTTCCATTTCCCTTTCTTCATCAAAGAGGTGGCTGCCTTTGCGCTGTCAGTTTGCCTTCACGCTAAGGCCTTGCAGCTTTAGCTCAGGGTTGGTTCAGCCTGCTTGTCCCTAGCTGGATGACGGCAGTCACCCTGATAGCACAGGGGATTTCAGGGTGGAGCCCTGTGGAAGCTCCAAGCTCCCTTTGAGCCAGGAGGTCCCAGGCTCCCCACTTGCTAGCTGTGGAATTTCAAGCCTAAGTTTCCTCTTGGTCTCAGTTTCTAGATCTGTAAAATGAGGCTAATCTACTACTCGCTGGGGCTGTTGTGAGCGTTAAATGTACCTTAGCTGGGGCCAGCACGCAGTCGTGCTTGATAGAAAGAAATAGATGCATTTAAGCTGTTATGAATATTCTGCAAGACTTCAGCGCTTTGCCCACCCAGCATCCCTTCTCCTCCTTCCAGCCACTCCTTCCTTCCAGAGTGTGCTGTGGGTGGGGCATGTGACCTGGTCCTAAGCCACGTCCCCATGCCATCCGCTGGCGTCAGGGATTGGCTGGGGGATGGACAGGTGATCTACTCAGCCAATGAGCTGTGCTGGGGGTTTTTCCGGTAATATCGAGAAATAGATTCTTGCTCCTTGAATAGGATTTGAAGCTGAGTGACTTTCTTGGACCATAGGGAGAAACCTTGTCTGAGAATGAAGCCAACAACCTTGGGGTCATCAGTTGAGCCCAGAGCAAGCTGTTCCTGAAGCGCATATGTGGGATTTTTTCACCCATCCATGCAATATTTATTGAGTACTATTGTGCTAGGTACCACTCCAGTTGCTGGGGTCGCAGCTGGGAACAAGATAGTTCCTACCTCACAGATGACACAGTCCTGCTTAAGACCTTTGCTGGGAATGCTCTTCCCCCAATATCTCCGTATCTCCGTGGCTCTCTCCTACATCTCCTTCAAGTCTTTTTTTTTTTTTTTTTTTTTTTTTTTTTTTTTTTGTGAGACGGAGTCTCACTCTGTCACCCAGGCTGGAGTGCAGTGGCGCAATTTCAGCTCACTGCAGGCTCCGTCTCCTGGGTTCACGCCATTCTCCTGCCTCAGCCTCCCGAGTAGCTGGGACTACAGGCGCCCGCCACCACGCCCGGCTAATTTTTTGTATTTTTAGTAGAGACGGAGTTTCACCGTTAGCCAGGATGGTCTCGATCTCCTGACCTTGTGATCTGCCTGCCTCAGCCTCCCAAAGTGCTGGGATTACAGGCGTGAGCCACCTTCAAGTCTTGATTCACAGGTTATCCCCTCCGAGGCATGCCCTGACTGGCTCAAAATTACATGCTCAAGACCTCGCCTACCCTTTCTGATTTATTTTACTCCTTAGCACCTGTAACCATGTGACATACTCTATGAAATATTTATCTATTTTGTTCATTCTCTGTCTCTCCCACTAGAATGTCAGCTCCATGAGGGAAGAGATTTTCATGTGCTGTTCACTGCGGATCCATAGAACAGAGTACCCGGAAAAGAGTCTGGCATAGAACGGGTGTTCAGTATTGAATAAATAAGTAGCCAGGGGTCTCAGGAGGTGGCAGTGCCATGGCAGTTTGAAGGCTTCCGAAGGAGCCATCCACTTGAGAAGCCCCCAGGGGAGAGCACAGCATGTGGCTGCTGTGGTCAAGCAATTCTTTTCTGACTTAAACCAGCTGGATTAATTTTTTTTATTTCAGGGCAGGGCGGTGGTCACTTTCAGCCTTCAGGGACGCCTGAGTTGTGCTTGGCAGCCTGCAATACTGGAGAGCTGCCCCTGGAGGGCGCAAGGGAATCCCGTTGCTGCACTCGGACGCGCAGTCACTAGACATGAGAGATGACGGTGGTGGTAGCAGTAATGGAGCATTTGCCTTTAGGCCTCTTTTAACTTTCACAACAGCCTACAAGACAGGTACCATTATCCCCGTTTCCTAAGGGAGGAAACCAAGGCGCAGAGAGGCTAAGTAACGTGCTCACGGTCCCTCAGGGTTAAGTGGCAGAACCAGAAAAGAACCAGAAGGAAAGGAGATACAAGTCACCATTTTTGGCCTGGCGCGGTGGCTCACGCCTGTAATCCCAGCACTTTGGGAGGCCGAGACGGGTGGATCACGAGGTCAGGAGATCGAGACCATCCTGGCTAACGGTGAAACTCCGTCTCTACTAAAAATACAAAAAATTAGCCGGGCGCGGTGGCGGGCGCCTGTGGTCCCAGCTGCTTGGGAGGCTGAGGGAGGAGAACGGCGTGAACCCGGGAGGCGGAGCTTGCAGTGAGCCGAGATAGCGCCACTGCAGTCCGGCCTGTGTGAAAGAGCGAGACTCCGTCTCAAAAAAAAAAAAAAAAAAAGTCACCATTTTTCTGTACACCCAGAGGGAATCCAGGAGGGGCCCTGGATGGACCTGTTTCCTTTGGGGCTCATTGCACTGGGGTGTATCTCCTCTCGGGCCTGCTGGAGCCTCCACCCTATCTCCCTGCTGCACGTCTCCCAGCAGTGGCTTGTGTTCTCTTAACTGTGCAGCCAGATTGGACCTGCTCAGCTCCAGGTGAAATGGACAGAAAGCCCATCCCTGCCCGGTCTGAGGATTGGGAAGCCTTCCTGGAGGAAAACACGCTTAATTGGAGACCTGAAAGAGGACTAGGAAATAGGCAGGTGAAGAGGTGTGGGCAAAGACCTGAGGATATGGGGGTGACTGATGAATTTCTTCGAGGCTCTTGGCATGAGTAGAGTGAATGTTTACCCCAACCCGATGAGGCAAAGGCACCGCAACTTTCCTAGCCCACATTTCCATCCGTTTGCCCTTTACTGTAAACATTCAAAAGATGCATCCACCTCCTTCCACTCTGGCAGAACAGAGGACCTTATCTGCATGCCAATCTCGGATTATCTGTAGCCCAATCTCAGAGCTGTCTGAGCACTGGGCTTTGTAGTTTCCAGACCAGCCTCTGGGACAGGAAGTGGGGGGCTCAAGGGTTGTAGGGCCAGTGCCTTGCAGAGGCTGGGAATCCCCTTCTCAGGACCTGAAGACCCTGGAAACTGGAAGCCCCCCACCCACACAGAGGCACCCTGTCCCATAGCTGGCTCAGCTTCCAGCTCCCTGGGGCGCTGGCCTCCTTCGGGGAGATATTTTACAACCAAAGTTTTCTTCTTTTATGTCCAGCAGCACGTGGGTGGGGTCAGGCTGCCTGGGCTGCAATCCCACCTGGCCACTTGGCATCTCTTAACCTCTCTGGGCTTTACTTACCTTATCTGGAAAATAGGTTGAATGGCTTATTAATTGTGATGTGCGTACAGCAATGTCTGGCACATAATCAGTGCGACTCTCATTATTGTAGTATGAATGTGATTTGATGCTGTAATTTCTCCTCTCTTCAGGGTGCCGGTGTCTTTTTCTCTCAATACTCCAAGAAATGAGCGTCCAGCATGGATGTGAAGGGATGCTTGCTGCACCTGGAGTTTCAAGATGCCGCTGGGGAAAAGGGAGGCTGCTAGCAAACACCATTTTGGAGGGGGCTGTATGAAGGAGAAAAGTAGCCTAGAGCCGGAACTCAGATTTTCTAAAGGGGATTCAGGCGGCCAGAGGATAGTAGAGGGCCAGAAAGGAGGTCCCCAAGGAGGCTTCGGGGTAGGGTGTGAGGGGATCCTCAGGCAGACTGGGGAGCTGAGCCTGTTGTAACCGAGCGAGTTACAGAGAAACGCCGCACTTTGAGACGAATTCAGGGGTCCTTTATTAGCTGGCGACTGAGAGACAGCTAGTGCTCAAAATTCTCTCAGCCCCAAAGAAGGGGCTTGATTTTCTTTTATACTTTGGTTTAGAAAGGACAGGTGGGGGTCTAAAACAATCTTACAGAAGTAAAGCAGGCAAAAAGTTAAAAGGATAAATGGTTACGGGAAAGCAAACAGTTCCAGGTGCAGGGGCTTAAAATCTATCACAAGGTGATAGACACGGGGCTTTGGGCGTTATCAACCGGACACAAACGCCGGGGCTCTGGGTGCTATTAACCGGGCGAATTCCTGGGAACTGCGGATATAGCTTGCCACAGTATCTTATCAGTTAATTGCATTCTTGGATGTGCTGGGAGTCAGCTTGCACAAATTAAGTCCTTGAGGAAGCGGGGTGGGTAAGGGGCTGCAAATGAAAGAGCCAAGATGGAGTCTGTCTGGCTCTCTTAGCTAAGGGAGAGTCAATTCAGGTTAAAACAAGGTAGGGTATCACAAGCCCACTTAACAAGGGCAGCAGGACCCCAAGAAGAAAAGCTTTAGGAGTCTCCACAGTGGGCCCAGGGCAGTTCCACACAGGTCTCTGAGGCCCCACAGACAGGAGAGCTGTGACGACTCCCTTAGTGCCCAAGAAAGCAAGGAGGTGGTGGGCAAGGGGCTCCCAGAGGCCTTGGGGCACTAGAGGGGAGATGGAGCCGAGGGAGTGGCTCTGCAGGCCCCTCTCTGAGAGAGTGCATGAGGTGTGGCCCCAGGCCCAAGGGTAGGGGGTGCACAGGGTGAGGGAAGGGAGGAGAGGAAGAGGAGGAGGAGGTGGTGGCCACAGCGGGATGGCACTCAGCCAGGTTCAGCTTCGTGGGAAAGGTCCCAGGTGGGCCGGGCTAGCACTGGGGATGCCCTGGCTCTGTGTCTCGGTTGGGTGGCTGACTCCTCCTGGAACGCATCCCTGACATCCTCCAGGCTGGCTTGGGGATACTCTGGGGACACACAGTGCCCAGGCTTCCGGCCTCCCAGCCCTGGCTCCCTGTGGACTCAGCTGCCCCCAACAAGCCTGCGAGCCACTGGAGAGCAAGGGCAGGCTGTCCTTGCCATCCAGATGCCTGGCACAGAAGGGGTTCTCACCTTCGGGGTATGGGCTGACTCAGTGGGTTTCTCCTCCCTCCAGCTCTAACCTGCCTGTGGAATAAACAAATCACTCCTCTGGGTTGTCTAGCTGGTGCAGGCCCCAGGGCGACGCCCCTTTGAGGGGAAAATGGGGGCATTCCAGTTTCCATGAGCCCTGGGACTCCCCTCCTTCCCACCACTGCTGCCTACCCTCCGGTTCCAGGTATGCAGGCTTCCTCCCTTCTGACGGTTCCTGCTGCTGGAGTCGTCCTTCCTGAAACCCTGCCTTTGCTTAGCCTCATTCCCATCTCTCAGTCCCATCCTGCAGCTGGGCAGGCAGTGCTGGGCCCCGGAAATGCCCTCTGCCTCCCTGGAGCACGTGGCCTGTGATTTTCCTTGAGCACAGCACTTTGTGACTTTGATGTAAACATCAAACACAGCCCCCTTTCCTGTCTTCGCATCCAGGAAATAGGTTAGTTTCAGACAAGCCTGCTTGCCGGAGCTCAGCAGACACCAGGCCTTCCGGGCAGGCCTGGCCCACCGTGGGCCTCAGAGCTGCTGCTGGGGCATTCAGGTAAGCGGCTGTCCTCGGGCCTTCTGCCTGTGTCCTGCCACCAGGGCCACCCCAGGGGGCTCTGGGAGACCTGGCAGAGGATGAACCCCCCCCATCCATGAGTGAGAAACCCTGGCGGGGTGTGACATCCTCCCCCGGGGTGTGTGCGGAGAGTGTGAGCGGCAGGGCCTCCCTCTCAGGCTGGGGGCTTGGGCTGCAGGGAAATCCAAACCGGCTTTGTAAGCCCCGATTCCTCACCCAGAACCGGCTCTCCATTGGCATTGGGACCAGAGACCCCGCAAGTGGCCTGTTTGCCTGGACATCCACCTGTACGTCCCCAGGTAAGTGGTGCCTGGGTGGAGTGGCACCTGGCCACCGTCTCCATGGTGGGCTGTGTCTGGAGGAGGAAGACAGAATATTAACTGGGAGTCAGGAGGTTGCTGGGAGGACCAGGAGAGCTGGAGGACTGGGCTGGGTGGTGACTGGCTGGAGATGGAGGCAGACGGGGCTTGTGGCCACGCTGAGGGAAGCAGCTCCCCCTCCAGAGGCTTGGCCGAGCGGGGCTGTTCAGGGGACACGGTGAGGCCTGCTCAGTCCCTGGGCTCCTGCTGGGCCCTGTTTGGCTGCATCCTTGGCTCTCGGAGGCAGAGAAACCTCCAGAGAAAGCGCATGTGCACTCTGTGAAGATGAGGGGGCTGCTCACCAGGGCCGTGAGCTCCATCAGCAGAATGCTGTGATTCCTGTGAGGAGTCCAGGGCAGGCTTGAGCCACTTGTAGGCGAGCTCAGGTTAGAGGAAGACCTGGAGAGAGAAAGAGCAAAACACCGAGTTCTCCTCAACTGCTGTGTGTTCTCGGCAAGTTGCTTGGCCTCTCTGACCTCAGTTTGTGCATCTGTTAAATGCACATGCAGATATGGGCACCTGGCAGGCGCCTGGTTCCTGACTGTTGGCGAGAGGCTGGGAAATGTGTCCCAGGTAGGAAGCATCCCCGACAGGAAGGAACAGGAGTTCATGAGGTGAGCAGCTCGAGATGATTCATTACTCTCGTCTTGGTTGGAACAGTAGGCAGACAGGAGGTGTTTAATAATGCCTTGCTGAGAGATCAGGGTCAGGGACTCCTAAGGTGCCACCTGTGAAGCTGCCTCCTGCTGAATCCAGAGCTTCCTTTTCCTCTTCACACCTGCCCTCCATCCTCAGCCCCACTGCCCTGGCAGTGTTGCGGGGGTGGTGTTGATGTGCACACTCTGGAGCCTGGGGGCCTGGCTTCACATTCTGGCTCTGCCACTCACCAGCTGTGTGACTGGACCAGTCACCGCATCTCTCTGTGCTTCCCTCCCAGGGCTCTCGGGAGGATAAAGAGAGTGACTGTATCCACACTGCCCGGCACATACAGGTGCTGCAGAAAGGTCTCACTAAAACCCTCATTATCCTCACTAGCTCTGGGTGGCCTCGGGCTCTGGACTCCACAGTTCCTGTATGCTCTCCGGGGCTGCAGCACCCAGACCACCCCGTGCTGACCACTCCCTGCCCCACCCCAAGGTACAGGGTTAAGGCAGCCATTCTCATCAGAGCCAATTTTACCTCCTCCCGTCTCCCTGGGACAGTTGATAGTGCCTGGAGACAGTTTGGGTTGTGACCCAGCGGGTGTTACTGGCATCCAGCATGTCCAGGACAGGAATCCTGTGAACAGCCTACAAGGCCCAGGACAGTCCCACCCTGTTCCATTGTCTCTATCAGCCCCTATCCTCCTGACTCACACCGCCTTTTCCCATCTCCCTTTTACAGTCACAGAGCCTGAGGCCCAGAGAGGGACCGCTGCTTGCTGAGGTCACACAGGCAGTGGAGGCCGGAGTTGGGGGCCTCACTGGAGGGGCGGTGGAAGGGCATTGTTCAATCAACAGACACTTGGAGAGTGTGCTGGGTTGGGGAATCTGACCCTGACCCCGCACCAGCCCAGCTCTCCAGGGTCTCCTAATAGACATTTGCTGGAGTGGTTAGTGCTGGCTGCTGCATTGGACAGACCTGAGTTCAAATCCTGGTGGCCCCTTGCAGGCTGCATGTTCTGAGAGTGACATTGACCTCTCCGAGCCTCAGTTTCTTTAGCTGAGGAGTGGGATAACAGTTCCCACCAAATGTAGTTGTGGTGAGAATTAGAATAAATGGCTAATGCTCGCAAAGGGTAGTGCAGTCCCCAGCACAGAGGCTGTTGTGATTGTCCTTACACACTTGACAAATATTTGTGGGGAGGAAGCAGGAGCTTCCATAGAAAACAAGACAGAGCCGTGGGCCCTGCCTCGGGGAGCTCAGCCTGGTGAGGGACTGAGGAGCAGAGACAGAGGCCATCAGGGCTGTGATGTGGGAGGATGGGGACCCTGGAAGCCTAGGGGAGGTGCCTGACCCAGGCTGGGGAGGGGGCAGGGCTCATGGAATGCTTCTGGGAGGATGGGACAACGGAGGAGGCCTGAAGCCGGAGGCCCAGTAGAAGGATGCAGCGCAGTTCTGGGCTGAGGGAATAGCCTGTGGCCAGGATCCTCAGGATGGGCCCCTCCTCTCCCGCCATCCTCCACCCAAGGAAGCCCCTGTGGCCCCTCACCCCTTCCCAGGTGTCAGGTTCCACCGGTGCTCAGAGGCATCCCCACCCATCCCAGTGGACTGCAGACCTTTGTAGGTACCTGGTATATTGAGCACCTCCTCTGTGCCATGCTGGTATAGGTAGGAGAACAAGACAAAGGCTCCACTCCCGTGGTGCTTACATTCTGGCAGGGACAAAGGTACTATGTCACCAATAGATACAATATCATCTTTTAGGTGGTGAAGAACAACAAAGCTGGGTCAGGGCTAGAGAGAGAAGGAGAGGCTATTTTGGAGAGGGAGGTCAGGGAAGGCCTCCTGGAGGAGGTGACTTAGGCAGAGACCTGAATAAAGTGGAAGGTGTTGGAGGAAGAGTCTCCAGGCAGAGGGAACAGACAGTACAAAGGCCCTGAGGCTGCACCATGCCTGGTTTGTCCGAGGGACCTGAACGAATAACATGAGGAGGCCCGTGTGGCTGGAGGGGAGTGAGTGGCGGGGGGTGGTGATGGGCATCATGAAGGGCCTTGGGGGCCACCCTGAGGACTTGCATTTTCACCCCGAGTGAGGTGGGAGCCTAGAGGGCTTCAAGCAGAGAAGAGGATGTGATGGCATGACGGGGGCCAGCAAGTCTCACCCCAGGGAGTCCCTGCAGCCCCAGTGCTGGACACCTTCACTGGCCCTGCTTTCCGGAGGAGGTCTGGCGAGCTTCACTCGCTGCTGAGGCTGCACTGTGACCATGTGGTGGGTCCACGATTCCATGATTTGAATCCAATCCCTGCAGTCAGGAAAGACATATGAAGGAGGAGCCTGCAGCCATGGCTAACTGCGGCTGTGTGGCTCATGGCGTCACCAAGCTGGCGTGTGCTGACGACCAGTGCCTATGCTGCCTCTGTTGGTGGGCACAGGCGGCCCGAGCACAGCTGGGGGATTAAGGAGCAGGGAACATGGCTTCAGAGGGACTTAGGGTCTCAGGTGAGGACTAGGGGTTCAGAGAGAGAGAGCCAGGAGCTGGAGTGGGAACAGGGTGGTGGGGGGGCAGTAGGAGGAGGTGGGGCGGTGAGGGGCTGGGGCCCTGCTCCTGCAGAGCCTTGGATGGGGACATGTCAAGCCTCTGGCTGGGGGGACATGCGGAGCCTCTGGCTGGGGAGACATGCGGAGCCTCTGGCTGGGGGGACATGCGGAGCCTCTGAGCCTCTGGCTGGGGTGACATGTGGAGCCTCTGGCTGGGGGGACACGAGGAGCCTCTGAGCCTCTGGCTGGGGGGACACGTGGAGCCTCTGGCTGGGGGGACATGTGGAGCTTGTGCTGCTCCTGCCCGCTCCCACCAGGTCCAGTGGCTTTGGTGTGATACCTCTGCTCTGACGATGGGCATGTAATGGGGGCTTCTGATGCCCAGGGAATGTTCTGTGAAACAGTAGACCTTCAAGGCTTTGCTGAATAGGTGTGGGAATTAAGTGACGCTGAAAGAGGTCCTTCCATGTGGTCTTCTCGGAGCCTTTAATGTGCTTTTCACAGCATTTGAAACTGTATTTGACCCCTTGACTCTTTTTTCCTTTGAAGCATGTTTGGGGAATCTGATCTCTCTGGAACAGCTGTAATCTAGCACTGCCTTTACCCAGGGAGGCTGGGTGAATGGTGGGATTCCAGGCAGGTCCTTCTGACCAGGCTCCAAGGCTTCCTCCCATCATCCTCCCAGGGCCTGGGCTGTGAGTGTGGGGCAGGTGCCCCGTGGCTGCTCTGCTGTGATCTCTGTGCTGTGATCCAGGGGCTGTAAGTTCTGGGAAGGCCAAACTAGGATCTCTGAACTGTGAGCTCAAGAGGAAGCTGACTGGGGTCAGCCTAGGGAGAACCATAGGCCAGGCTTGGGGAATGAACAGGCTCACTGGGGACTGAGGGACGCGGCTCCTAACCCAAGTCCTGTCCGTCGGGATGGCCCAGGCAGGTCGAGGGCTGGGGTGGGTCTCATGGTGGGTGTGTCTTCTGGGAGGGCCACGAGTCTGCAGGGACACAGCTGAGAACAGAAACATTTGATCCCCTGCCTGGGGTCTGGGGTCACCCCGGGGAGCTCTAGATCGGTGCAGCTCACTGACAGCAGACACTCCGGCTAGCCGCTGCGTGGCAAATGCTCCCACCTCTTGCCCCCGGACTTTTCATCTCTGCCACCTCTGCCCACCTTCTCTGGCCTCCCCAGCATCTCTGGCCATGGGGTCCCTGGGAACTTGGGCCCCATGTTTTACTAGTGAGGACAGTCCAGAAAGGCCCCAGGGGTGGAAGAGGAGGCGCCCACCACCCGACCTGTGTGTGTGGGGTGGTGCTTGTGATTACCGTTGTCCTTGTGGGCAGTGGGACAGGGAAGCTGGGACGCAGCCGAGATGCACAGGAAGAGAGCCTGCCTCTGGGACTCCTTAGCCTCGGGTCATGGATGGCAGCCCTGGGCTGGGCACTGAGCCTCCCTCATCTCCTCTTCTGCCCTAACCCACTTCTAGCTACCCAGGCTGCACCTGCGGCCACGTGGGGAGGAGCTTCTCAAACTGTGTTGGCGACAGTTTCCTGCCACAGCTTCCTGCCCCAGAGACCAGCTTTGCTACTCTGCACCCATGGTCCTTGGACAAGCCCTCAGTTTTCTGCCTCATCCTGCATCCTCATGCTTTATGGGAGTGGCTCCATGAGTCTTCAAGGATGGGCTGGCTGGGTTGGAGAAGATGGAGGGGAGAGGGAAGGGTGCACTAGGTGGAGGGTGCTGTGTGGATGAAAGTATGAACATCCATTTGAAGGAAGGCAAGTAGCACAGCTCAGCTGGGGCAGAGGGCTGGGGAGATCCAATGCAGTAGCCATTAGGGTCTTGAGCAAGGGAGGCCTTGGGGAAGAATTGCCAAGGAGCAACTTGCAGACTCTGGGGCTCAGCTCTGTGGAAATAGACTGTGAGGTTCAGCCAGCCACAGGCAGCATGAGCATGCCATCTGGATCTTAGGTTGGTTGTATTAATGGAAACAGTTGGTGGAGATCAAAGGAGATGATGCCAGCACCAACCGACCTCAGTCGGGCGAGAGATCTGGGCTCTGGGAGAGGTGGGTGTGGCAGCATGTACAGCTACTGACAGGATGACCCAAGTAAGGGGACGGGGGTGGGGGAAGGAGAGTGAGCAGGATGGTCAGAGGGCAGAGGCAAGCCAGGGAGTTTGTGAAGGACCAGAGAGGTCTGTGGGGCTCAAGCAGGAGGGAGGAGTCATAGGTGTCGGCCATTCAGGGGGCCCAGGATTGAGGAGGTCACAGAGTGCTTGTCTGGTGCCTACAGACTGCCAGGGGTGCTATCAGTGCTGGAGAACAGCCTGGGGGGGGGGCGCAGACCAGGTCTGGCTGAGAGGCTGGGAGTCAAGGACATAGGGACAGGAGTGTAGACAGCCCTTAATCACTTTTCCTATTTTCATTAGCATTTTTAGTGTCCATTGTGTCTGTATCTTCCAGTTCCTTTCCCCCTTAATTAAAAATTTGGGGTATAATTTACATGCAATAAAATTTTTATATCATTTTAGTGAAAAATTCTGAGATTTGACAAATGCATACAGCCCAGAGACTACCACCACATCAATCAAGATACAGACTATTCCCCCAAATTCCGTCCTGCCCTCTGTCGTCACTCCTTCTCCGGCCCCCAGCACCCAGCAACCTCTGGTGCGTTTTCCGTCCCTATAGTTGTGTGTGGAATCACACAATTCGTAGCCCTTGGAACCTGGTTTCTTTCATCCAGCCTGAGGCCTTTGCGATGCGTTTGCGGAACTGCGTGTCTCCGTATGCTGTTCCACTTACCGCGGAGTAGAATTCCACTGTAGGCATGTCCCACAGTGTATCTTATTCATCTGTTGGGAAACATGTAAGTTATTCCTAATTTTTGGCAACTGTGGCTAGTACGGCTATAAATGTTCCTGTGTAGGTTTTTGTGTGAATGTAAATTTCCATTTCTTTAGAGTGAATACCTAGGAGCCTTCATGGGTTTTTTTGTTTTGTTTTGTTTTGTTTTGTTTTGAGATGGAGTTTTGCTCTGTTGCCCAGGCTGGAGTGAAGTGGTGCGATCTCGGCTCACTGCAACTTCCACCTCCTGGGTTCAAGCGATTCTCCTGCCTCAGCCTCCTGAGGAGCTGGGACTACAGGCGCCCACCACCACGCCCGACTAATTTTTTTGTATTTTTAATAGAGACGGGGTTTCACCATGTTCGCCAGGCTAGTCTCAAACTCCTGACTTTAGGTGATCCGCCTGCCTCGGCCTCCCAAAGTGTGGGCCACCGGGCCCAGCCATTAATTTTTGTATCTTAATGGAGACGGGGTTTCACCATGTTGGCCAGGCTGGTCTCAGACTGCTGGCCCCATGTGATCCACCCGCCTTGATCTCCCAAAGTGCTGGGATTACAAGCGTGAGCCACTTCGCCCAGCCGCTTCATGACTTTTTAAAAACACTCTTGTGGAATGGTGACCTTTTTCTCCAGGTGGAGCCACAAATGCAGTCCCTTATGAATCTCTGGAACACCCACCTGTCTGTAACTGTTGGGACATCCAGGACCCCCCTCAAGCTTGGCCCTCCCAACCTCACTGTCACAATCAATCGGGTTACAGTGCAGATCCTGGCCCCTCCTCTAGCTACTCTGACCCAGACTTCACCTGATTCCCATTCCAGTACCTTCCTTTCAGCTCCAGAGCCCATCTCTGGACACCCAGGGCAGAGGGAGCTTTCACAAAAGCATTCATTTTACCCCTTGGTTGCATTTGCATAACTAAGAAGGGCACTCAAAGTCAATTCTCCAATGCAAACTTATGCCTGAGTAGCCTTGCTGGGCCTATGTTAGTAGAGAAACAACTCAGAACCGCTATGGAGAGGTATTTTTTCCCAACATTCTATGAAAACTTACAAATATGCAGAAAATAGAAAGAATTAACTGTACACCAATAACTCACCTGCTAGATTCTCCAGTTTATGATTTGCTATAATTGCTTTATCACATACAGTTGATCAACACTGCGGAGTTCTTATTTGTGAGTTTGCCTACTTGTTAAATTTATCTGAAACCCTAAAACCAACATGGCACTTTTGTGGTCATTCTCAGACATACAGAGTGGCAAAAATATGAATCACTCGATACACATTTTCCCACCGAGGCTGCACAAGGCAAACACTCTCATGCTGCAGATAAGTGTCTTTTTCATGTTCTTTTTTTTTGAGACAGAGTCTCACTCTGTCGCCCAGGCTGGAGTGCAATGGCGTGACCTCAGCTCACTGCAAGCTCTGCCTCCTGGGTTCATGTCATTCTTCTGCCTTGGCCTCCCGAGTAGCTGGGACTACAGGCGCCCGCCACCATGGCTGGCTGATTTTTTTTTTTTTTTTTTTTTTTTTGTATTTTTAGTAGAGACAGGGTTTCACTGTGTTAGCCAGGATGGTCTTGGTCTCCTGACCTTGTGATCCACCCGCCTCGGCCTCCCATAATGCTGGATTAGAGGCGTGAGCCACCGCAGCCGGCCAATCTTTTTCATGTTCTATTTGGTGGTGCCACATATTTTGTTTTTTTATTTTATCTTTTTTTTTTTTGAGATTGCTGTCTCGCACTGTCGCCCCAGCTGGAGTGCAGTGGCAGTGGCGCGATCTCAGCTCACTGCAACCTCCGCCTCCCAGGTTCAAGCAATTCTGCTTCAGCCTCCCGAGTAGCTGGAATTACAGGCACCTGCCACCATGCCCGGCTAATTTTTTGTATTTTTAGTAGAGACGGGGTTTCACTGTGTTGGCCAAGATGGTCTCGAATGCCTGACCTTGTGATCCACCTGCCTTGGCCTCCCAAAGTGCTGGGATTACAGGCGTGAGCCACCACGCTCGGCCTATTTTATCTTTTTAAAGACAGAGTTTCGCGCTTGTTGCCCAGGCTGGAGTGCAGTGGCCTGATCTCGGCTCAATGGAATCTCCGCCTCTTGGGTTCACGAGGTTCTCCTGCCTCAGCCTCCCAAGTAGCTGGGATTACAGGTGCCCGCCACCACCTCTGGCTAATTTTTTGTATTTATGGTGGAGACGGGGTTTCACCATGTTAGCCAGGCTGGTCTCGAACTGCTGGTCTCAAGTGATCCACCCGCCTTGGCCTCCCAAAGTGCTGGATGACAGGCATGAGCCGTTGCACTCGGCCTCACATATTTTGAATGTTTGTGCTTTTTGTTGGTGATTTCAGTGGTTGACATGGCCCCCAACCATAGTGCTGAAATGCTATCTAGCATTCCTAAGGGCAAGAATGCTGTATGTGCCTTATGGAGAAAACATGTCAGATAAGCTTATAGTTATAGTGCTGTTGGCTAAGAGTTCAATGTTAGTGAATCAACCATGTCTATTAAATAAGGTGCCTTTAAACAGAAACTCACAAAAAAACAAGGTTATGTCTTGATCAGTTGATGAAAATGTAAACAGTTTCCTAGGAACCTAACTCTGTATTTCCCCTAGGAGGGATAGTTCTATATTGCTAATTCAGTGTTTTCGTTGACTTTATAGAACTGCAGAGAATGACAGAAATCAACTGTGTCTATCTGGCTGTCTATCCTTTTATCCATCCCTCTCGCTCTGTTCGTCCATCGGTCAGTGTTATTTTTGGGATGCTCTCAAATTAGATTACAGTCCTCAGTTCCCATCACTCCTAAACATTTCTGCAAGCAGATCGTTACCTAGGGTTCAATATTTTATGTTTCTTTTTTAATTGAGGGAGGGCAAATACAATGGAATGAACACATCTTAAGTGTACATTCTCTTAGTTTTCGGAAAATCAGACACTTGCATAACCCAAGCCCTGTGAATATACAGGACGTCACCATCACCCCAGAAAGTTGAGGGCAGGCAATTTTAAGTTATCTGCCTTACCAGATATCCATCTGTCTAAATAGCCTTAATTCCTCCTCCCCTCAATCACACGTTTTGTTTAATAGCTGTATCAGAGTTCACTTTGAGATTAAACCCTAATGCATTTAACCAGTCCCCTAGGGATGGATATTCCAATTAGCGTATGCTCTGTAGAAACTTGCCAAGGAAGGCAGAGGGCAGGGCGAGGGGTGCCTGCTAAGGCCGAGGGGAAAGGGTCAGCGGAAGGGACAAGGGAGGCTGAGGGGTAGGGCCCTTGGGTGAGCAAAGCTGGGTGCGGCCTCAGGGCCTCTGCGCATGCAGTCCTCTCTGCCTGATGCGCTGTCCCGCGCGCTTTTTGAAAAGTTGGCTCCTCCTCCTTCAGCTCTCCCTTCAAATGCTAGCTCCTTGGAGAAGGTGACCATCCTAGCTAGAGCCACCTCTTCTCTCTCTTAATGTCACTCCACTTATTTCCTTTGTAATGCTGACCTCAATCTGTAATTATTATTTTTGTTTCTTTCTCAGTTTATCTCACGGCTCTCCCTCCTTAGAGTGTTGCCTTCGGGAGGACGGGGTGGGACCGCGCCTGCCTCAAGCGTGCATATCCCCAGCACCGGGCCTGAAACACAATAATTCAGCACGTGGTTGGGACATGAAGAGATGGGTACAGGTGTGGGTGCTTGGGGAC
Source organism: Homo sapiens (assembly GCF_000001405.40). Classification (NCBI taxonomy): domain Eukaryota; kingdom Metazoa; phylum Chordata; class Mammalia; order Primates; family Hominidae; genus Homo; species Homo sapiens. Next base: position 649,795 of record NW_025791765.1, read on the forward strand.
CAGTTGGCGTGCTTGGGCGTCCACATAATGTCTCTGGAAAGTCAGATGGGGGTTTGGGACTTCTCGATCTGTGCCCAGCAGGCTGCGGCTTCTCTCCAGGTTGACTCTGGCACAGAGCAGGCTCTGCCCCCTTGGCGAGCTCAGTCTGCGGCACTGATGCCCTCCACTTGGCGTCTCTCGCGCCGTCTTTGGGCCCAACGCACCAGGTTCAGGAAGGCCCTGACGTGCCTCCGACCCTCTGTGAACCCGCAGGTTTCGGGAGGCCCAGGGGCGATGCCAGACCCCGCGGCGCACCTGCCCTTCTTCTACGGCAGCATCTCGCGTGCCGAGGCCGAGGAGCACCTGAAGCTGGCGGGCATGGCGGACGGGCTCTTCCTGCTGCGCCAGTGCCTGCGCTCGCTGGGCGGCTATGTGCTGTCGCTCGTGCACGATGTGCGCTTCCACCACTTTCCCATCGAGCGCCAGCTCAACGGCACCTACGCCATTGCCGGCGGCAAAGCGCACTGTGGACCGGCAGAGCTCTGCGAGTTCTACTCGCGCGACCCCGACGGGCTGCCCTGCAACCTGCGCAAGCCGTGCAACCGGCCGTCGGGCCTCGAGCCGCAGCCGGGGGTCTTCGACTGCCTGCGAGACGCCATGGTGCGTGACTACGTGCGCCAGACGTGGAAGCTGGAGGTGAGAGCGCAGCCTGGGGCGCGGGGTCTGGAGGGGCGTGGCCGAAGAGGGGCAGTCGAGGGTTTTGGGGGGATAGGAGGGAGGAAAAGGTCGTCTTCCCCATTCAGTCCCCTTTGGAAGCTGGAGAGGTGGGGCACTGGTTGGGGAAGAACCTGAAAGGAGGCCTCAGAGGCAGGGGCTCCGTGGTGGCGGTCGCCTTCCGCAGGCTGAGCGATGCTATGGTGCTCTACTATGCCAGATGGGAAGGTAGAGGGACGCACTGGGCCGGGCGAAGGCGAGGCTTGGAATGGGGGCGGGGCTGAGAGGAGGGTGCGCGGGGCTAGGGTGAGCCCTTAGGGTAGGGTGGCTGTTGGGGAAGATGGGCAGTAGTCGTCCACAGCCTGAGTGACACCACCATGCACAACTACCTGAATTAGGTCTTCAAGCTGGAGATGCGCTTGGGGCCGCGCTGGAAGGTGGGGGTGGTTCCTCCCTAGCTGGATTGGGGAGGGGACCACGGAGATGGCGCGGAGGTAGTCCTCGAAAACCTGCCTAACACGCGCTAGGGACGCCTGGGTGGGGTGGGGAGTCCTCTGGGACAGGGCTCCCGGAAGGGGGTTCCTGTGGCGAGCACTTGGCCACACCTACAGACCTCCTCGCCTCTCCTTTTCTAGGGCGAGGCCCTGGAGCAGGCCATCATCAGCCAGGCCCCGCAGGTGGAGAAGCTCATTGCTACGACGGCCCACGAGCGGATGCCCTGGTACCACAGCAGCCTGACGCGTGAGGAGGCCGAGCGCAAACTTTACTCTGGGGCGCAGACCGACGGCAAGTTCCTGTATGTGGGGCCCGGGATTTGGGTGCGGTGAGGATTGGGGCTCGTTGGCAGGGATCCTGGGGACTGGGGCAGACGTGAGTGTGCAGTTGGGCCGTAAGGGTGTCCCTGTGCTCACATGTGCAAGTGGGTTGTGTGTTTCTGATGTGCAAAGGGACTTGCACATGGGGAAGTAGAGGTAGTGACTAGGAAAGCCTCCAGACTCGGTCCCTTGGCCTGGCTTGGAATCCCGCTTCCGCCACCTGCTGGCTGTGGCCCTTGGGCAAGTAGCGGACTGTGGTTGCCTGCCTCAGTTTCCCCTCCTTCAATCAACAAATATTTACTGAATACCTACTGTGTACCAGGCACTGAGCACACGGCAGTGAGCCAAAAAGACACAGTGCCTGTCCTCATGGGGCAGGTAGACAAGAAAAGGAATCAATAAAATAGAGACCCTGTCAGATGGTGGTAAGCGCCGTGTGTGCAGGTGGGGAGGCGGTTGCAATTTTAGATTAGGTGGTCAGAAGAGGCCTTCCTGAGAAGGTGACTTCTGAGGAAGGGAAAGAAGCTGAGGAGTGAGCTGTGCAGCTTTCAGGGGGAAGGGTGTTCCTGGAAAATGCAATGGCAAGTGCAAAGATCAGGAGGCAGGAGTCTATTTGGCGTGTTCCAGAAACATTGTGGAGGCCATGTGCCTGGAGCTGAGTAAGTGAGGGGGAGAATGGGAGGAGGTGAGGGCAGGGCGGGGACTTTAGCTTTTCCCCCAAGTGAGGTGGGATCCCCGGGAGAGTGTTGAAGCAGCCCCCTCTAACTGTCCTGTGGTTGACAGCAGTACCTCCCCTCAGGATCCTCTATGAGGATTACATGAATTAATACGTGTGAATCGAGAGTATGGTAACTGACATAGGAAAAATGCGGTAAATGTTAGCTTTTATATGTGGGTGAACGTGCGTGTCTGAGCCACAGCTGAGGCCATGTAGCTATTTGTGAGTTTGTTAATGTGAAAAAAATCTCTGAAAATCTCTTTTTAAAACTCTGCTGAGTGTTTGACAGCCCTGCTGGGGCTGTTGCTCTCTGGTTTGGACACGGGATCTTTTCTGTAACAGATGGTATCCAGGTGCAGCTGAGGTCACTCAGGCCTCAAGACACAGATAAATTGGTGCTGCCTCTTTCCCATGACCTCAGGAAGCCCAGTGTTTTCCCCCAAGAAATCTGTGGGGACAATTCTTGGGCCTTCCTTCTCGTGAGTGCTTCTTGGCCTGAGCCCCTGCCCAGCAGATCCCTTGGGTCATCTGCCTCCCCCAGGGCTGTTTCCTCTCCTGAGGTCAACCCACTTGGAGGAAATGACCACATCCCTTGATTTTCCTCACCCATGTGAAGTTTCTGTAGATTGCCTGCAGGCCTCTTGCAAGATGCAGCTCCCTCTCCAAGATTCTGTTGTGGGCTGATAAAATAACTCTTTTCACCCTACCATACAGATTCAGATTTAGGCTGTAAATTGGAGTGGAGTTTCCAAGGCTTCTGAGGGAGCTCTTAGATACATGTTGCACGTAATACTCAGTTGCCGGCACAACTTCTGAACAGGACAGGGCTGTTTTCTCTAAGAGGAAACCTTTGCATTTGTATCAGTTAGCTTTTGCTACATAACAAGCAGCCCTAAGATTTATTGGCTCAAAATGACAGTTTATTGCTCTTCATGATTCTGTGAGCTAACTAAGCAGTTCTGGTTTGGGTCATCTAGGCTGGGCCTGAATAGGCTGGGATGGCCACACTCACATGACTGGCCATTGGCTCAGTGTCACCTGGGTGATGGGGATGAGCTGGCCCAGTGCAGCCATCATCCAGCAAGCTAGCTGAAGCTTGTTTGTGTGGTGGTGGTGCAGGGTTCCCAAGATCAGTCAGAGAGGACAGGGCAAGTTCAAGCCTTTGTTTGTGTAATGTCACTGATGTCCTAATGGACAAAGCAAGTCATACGACCAAAACCAAAGTCACTGTAGGGAAGGGATTCCTTAAGGGAGAGGAATGCAGGGAGCCATTTTTGCAAACGGTTGGTCGTAGGATTGGATGAAGCAAGTTGTCGTGAAGGTATGGGCATTGTGAACATGGGTGTTGGGGGCTGTCTCTCTTTCCTTTTGGACTGTCAGCCTGAGGGCAGGGCCTGCCCTGCTGCATCTGGAGGGCTCCATCTTGCAGTACATGGTGATGGCTGGTCCAGGTATTACCCACCTTCCTCCAGATGTTGCATCACCCCACCCCAGGTGTGACCCTCGCCAAGATGTTAGTAATGTTTGCTCCCACGTTCTCACATGCTCATATCCCCCTCGTCCATTACATGCTACCCCAGGTGCCTGAGAGTCCAGGGGCTCTCCCCAGGCTGGACACGCGAAGAAGGCTCTAAACCCTTCCTATTGATGTAGCTGATTCTTTCCTTCCGTCTCTGCTTTCTCTTTCATAAAATGTAAATTCATCTGTCTTCTTTGATTTTATAATCTGAGTTTCTTCTCTGTTTTCCCCCTACATCCCCAATGTAGCTTTTCATCCCCACCATCTCTGCCTCTCTTCTGTCTCAGTTTTCCTTTCTTCTTCTCTCTTTCCCTCCCCACCCCCATCTCTCTTCCTCATCTTGCACTCACACACACACATACAGGTCATGATTCTGCCACTCCAATGGCTTAAAAATTTCCCCCAGATTCCCTAAAGCCTCCTGAGAGTGGCAGAGGATTCTAGGGGGTGGGAGAGTGAGAGAAGGGTTGAGCAGGTGGGATTTGGGCCCCTGTTCCAGCTTGAATGACGACAGCCGCTCAGCTTTGATCTGTTTGCTATCTTAGGCTTCCACACACAATGTTGTGTGGCAGAGGTTTCACTGCCCAAAGGAAAAGTTCAAACAGTTTTTGTGTAACACAGCAGAGCTCATGACAGGCTTAGAGTCAACCAGTCTGCTGAGATTAGAGGAGTCTCAGGAGAGCCAGGGCCAACAGCTTTAAGCAGCTGTCTGTGCATTGCATATCAAACTGGCGTGCAGTCTCCCAGGCAAATAGGACAAGCGTTGGCGGTGGGAGGGTGTGGCTAGGAAGGAGAGATGCCCAGCATCTGGGCACAGCATAGAGCGTGTGGCTGGCAGTGAGGTCCACAGCTGGCACAGTGGTATGAGGACAATGACTCATTCTGGGTAAACGTCAAGAGACGAAGCAGCTACAAAGAGCCAGGCTCCTGGAAAATTAGGCAAGGTACGCTTTGGACAGAAACTGTGAGAGCTTCTTCTTGTGGTTCCTGTAGTCTATAACTGCTTTCTCAGGGCTTGGGGTGTGAGAGAAAGACACGTGCTACTCAGGCCTAGAGTGAAGACCAGGACCACGCCTACCATTGATCACAGTTCATGGTTGCCGAAGAACAGATTTAATTGTACCCAGGGCTGTGCACTGCCAATGCTGGCTTGTTTCTGTGTTATTGGCAGCAATTTTATGGAACCGGCTGATTCGACTTTAAAAGAAACTTGTCCTGGAAAGGGCCTTTAAGAGAGTACATTGTCAAGTGTTTCTTTTTTTGAGACAGAGTCTTGCTCTGTCACCCAGGCTGGAGCACAGTGGTGCAATCTTCGCTCACTGCAACCTCTGCCTCCCGGGTTTAGTGATTCTTCTGCCTCAGCCTCCCTGAGTAGCTGGGACTATAGGCGTGCACCACCACGCTTGGCTAATTTTTGTATTTTCAGTAGAGACAGGGTTTTGCCATGTTGGCCAGGCTGGTCTCGAACTCCTGACCTCAGGTGATCCACCCGCCTTGGCCTCCCAAATTGCTGGGATCACAGGCGTGAGCCACCGCGCCTGGCCTGTCAAGTGTTTCTTATCCTCTCCTGGACTGCAGACCTCTTTGGAATCCTACTGACTGCTCCTTTCACAATCCCCCAAAGCATATTCACCTCAAAGACTTTGCAGACAGTTATATGAGATCATGGTTGGTCCTGAACCTCGTCCTTAGAACCCTTTTCAGGTCAAGAAGTTATGATTTAGACCAGTTACCTCATTTTATACATAAGGAAACCGAGGCACAGCGAGGATAAGCAGTTTATTCAGGGTTTCACAGATAATCTGTGACAGAGCTGGGTGTTAGTCCTAGGTAGCAATTAACTGTAGAGTCAGAAATGCATTTGAATCCTGGCTCCCCCTCCTATCTCTTACCAACTCTGCAATTTAGGCAAGATACATAATCTTGTGCCTCAGTTTCCTCATCTGCAAAATGGAGATAACAATAGTGCCTACTTTGTGGGGAGTGCTGTGATTATAGGACAAATATGTGAGGAATTTAGAACCAATATCTTAATAAATAAATTGTAGCCCTTTTGTTTTGTTTTGTTTACAATCGTGAACCAGAGACAGATGTAGCTCTTATAGGTTCTATGTATTATTTTAAGAGCAGAGATACAAGTTGATTTTTTAGCCTGTACTTCTGGCTTAAGTGCAAGTTCCAACTGCAAGAACAAAGAACTGCCACTACCTAGCATTTTTTTTTTTTTTTGTAAATCAAGTAGAACTTATGGTACTGAAATATATGTGGTGATAACACCAATGTCTTAGCTTTTGTGGTTATTATCTGGGAATTTGCAGCTGCTCTTTATGAACTCACACATCTCTTTCCAAAGAGTGTATTGGTTAGCTTTTGCTGTGTAACAATGTGCTGTATTCATACCCTGAAATGTAGTGGCTTAAAACAATGGTCATTTACAGCCAAGTGTGATGGCTCACACCTGTAATCCCAGCACTTTGGGAAGCTGAGGCAGGCGGATCGTCTAATGTCGGGAGTTTGAGACCAGCCTGGCCAACATGGTGAAACCCTGTCTCTACTAAAAATACAAAAATTAGCTGGGCATGATGGTGGGTGCCTGTAATCCCAGCTACTTGGGAGGCTGAGGCAAGAGAATCACTTGAACCCAGGAGGTGGAGGTTGCAGTGAGCCAAGGTTGCACCATTGTACTCCAGCCTGGGCAACAAGAGCAAAACTCTGTCCCAAACAAACAAACAAACACCGATCATTTATTCACTCTTGTTTTGCTTGGCAATTTGGCTGGTTGCTTGGTAATTTGGGCTGAGTTCAGCTGGGTGCCTCTTCTGCTGGGTTTTTGAGCTTACTCATGTGGCCACAGCCAGCTGGAAGATTGGCTGGAGCTGGATGGTCTCTGGGATGGCCTCACTCACATGAATGGCTATTGGCCACTCATGTAGGGTGCCTTGGTTCTCCTCCATGGGCCTTCTCTAGCAGGCTAGCTTGGACTCATTCCCATGGTATTTGGAGAGCTGCCAGGAAAAGCAAGAGAGGGCAGGCCAACCTCAATGTTCAACCATTTTTCAAGCCTCTGCTTGTGTCATGTTTGCTAATGTCCTGTTAGCAAGGCACATGGTCAAGCCCTGATTCAGAAGACAGAGGAGGAGGCCCCACCTATTGATGGGAAGAGCTCCCTAATATTGTGGCTGTTTTCCCCCAGTATTCCACATGGAAGTTTAAATAAACAAATAAGGAGGAAATTATTAGTTCTAGAAGAAAGAATGAAAGAGACAGACAGACTTGGTGGCTCACGCCTGTAATCCCAGCACTTTGGGAGGCCGAGGCAGGTGGATCACGAGGTCAGAAGATTGAGACCATCCTATCTAACACAGTGAAACCCCATCTCTACTAAAAATACAAAAAATTAGCTGGGCGTGGTGGTGTGCACCTGCAGTCCCAGCTACTTGGGAGGCTGAGGCAGGAGAATGGCATGGACCCAGGAGGCAGAGCTTGCAGTGAGCCGAGATCACGCCACTGCACTCCAGCCCGGGCTGTGGAGCGAGACTCGGTCTCAAAAAAAAAAAAAAAAAAAAAGAGACAGAGGAGGGGAGATGGGAGGTTTGCTGTTTGCTGGTGAGTGGCTTGGCATGGAGTCTCTGTTGTCAGTTTAAAACTTCAGGTTGTGACCCTTAGGAGGTGTTTTCACTTCTCACAGTCCCTGGAGACCATCACCTCCAGGCCAGCCTGCCACCTGCCTCTGACTTCCACAGCTCTGAGACCCCCAGGGCCAATAGCCCTCCCTCCTCACTGGAAAGCTGCACTTAACAGGAGCTTGTGCCAGTGACTCAAAATAGAAATGTTTTGTGGGAGATGTTGACTGGTGTCACTGCGGGGTTTCACGTGACGGCGCTGCATCTGCTGTCCCAGCCTACTGTCTCTGTGGGATGTTTGTTTCCTAATTTGTGGTGGGTTCTCTTCCTTGCCCTTTTGTGTGCCCTCATTGCCCCCGCCCTGATTTCCCATCTCTCCATGTTATCTCCAGACTGTTGTGGGCTAGCCTGGGAACTGCCCCACCCTTCACTGCACTGTACTTCGGGGAACGTGCTGTCCAGGAATGGAGAGGATGGTCACAGCTGCACCTCTCTCCCTCACTCAGGGGACATTTCCTAAGGAAGGGCCTTATTGCAAGGTGGGCCCATGGCTGCCTTGCTCACTGCCATATCCCTGCGCTGAGAACAGTGCCTGGCCTGTCAGTAAAGACTTGTCCAGTGAATGAACATCCACAGGCAGGGCCAGGCCTGGTCTGAGAATTTGCACCTTGGAGGGTGCAGCTCGCAGGCCATCACAAGGGCTCTTCTGTAGTGCAGTGCAATCCCTGAGATCAGGAGTCGGCTGCTTCCGGCCTCCACAGCTTCCACGGGGCCAGCTGCCCTCCCTCCTCACTGTAAAGCTACACTTGACCCTGCAATAGAGGCTTGTGCCAGTGACCCCAGACAAAACTGTTGTGTGGGGGATGCTGACTGGTGTCACTGTGGGGCTTCATGCGAGGGTGCCGGTGTCTGACACTAAGTTGGTCTGTGTTGAGGGGGGATGTGTGTACTCAGGGCTGGAGCGGATGGGGGGACAGTTTCTTACCCCACAAATGCACCACCTTTGAGGGGCTCAATTCCCATCATAGACATGGAAGATTTATATATTTATATTGACAAAATTCCAGCAGAAGGCAATCGAGGGTCTCATTCTAGGAAAGGTCCATCTATTATGGAACTGGTCAGTCTCGTGATGAGAAAGTGACTTGTTTTGATTTGCACAGGGGTGCCCTGTAAGCTTGTCATGGAGCTGCGCCTACCTGTGTGGGTCTGTGTGGAAAAGGCTTTCTCTCCCCAGGAGAATGGTGCTAGGTCTACCTGTTGAAGGCTCTGGGTCTGTTGTAGAAGGCCAAGTGCCCCCCATGGTTGGCTGACTGTATGGCCGAGTGTACCCCCAATGAGTGCCTGTGGATGACTATCTCTCTGTGGATGGCAAGTGTCTGGCCGTGGATGGCCAACTGTTCAGCCATGGGGGACCAGGTGTTCCCCAGTGGATGGGTGTCCCCTCCTCCGTGGCTGGGTGTCCACCGTGGGGGGTCAGGTATTCCCCGTGAATGGCCATCTGTTGGCTCTTGGAGAACAGTGCATTTTCCTGGGAACACAGCCATGGCCCCTCCACCGCCCTCTGCCACTTGGCCCATCATCAGCAGATCTGGAGGTGATGGGGGCCTGGCCTGGCTTCCCCAGTCCCTGCAGCTTCTCTGCAAGGCTCTGAGGTGTGGAGCCCATAGGGTGTGTTGCGGGGGAACCGGGGCACAGCAGGAGGCCCCCAGGTGGCTCTAGGGGTTACATCCCCTCCCTTCCCCTGCCAGGCTGAGGCCGCGGAAGGAGCAGGGCACATACGCCCTGTCCCTCATCTATGGGAAGACGGTGTACCACTACCTCATCAGCCAAGACAAGGCGGGCAAGTACTGCATTCCCGAGGGCACCAAGTTTGACACGCTCTGGCAGGTAGGCTGCCCGTGCAACTTGTTCTGGGAGATGCCGTGCTCAGATGGGGTGCCGGGCTCTGGGGAGGAGAGGAGCCTCTCTGCTAGCTGCCTGCTCCCTGCAGCTGGTGGAGTATCTGAAGCTGAAGGCGGACGGGCTCATCTACTGCCTGAAGGAGGCCTGCCCCAACAGCAGTGCCAGCAACGCCTCAGGTGACGGCAGCAGGCGGGCGGGCGGTGGGCGGGGGCGGCAGGAGACCTGGCCCCCAGCCCTCACTGTCCCTTCTGCTCCCCCAGGGGCTGCTGCTCCCACACTCCCAGCCCACCCATCCACGTTGACTCATGTGAGTTGGGGGCACCTGGAGTGTGGCCTTGGGGATGGAGCTGGGGAGTGGCTGTGGGGGAGGCTGGGATGGAGGCTGGGGTGCCTGTGGAGCGGAAGAAGCTCTCTCTCCACTGTCTCTGGGAGTCCTCAGTGGATATAGGTCTCATGAGAGGGGCTGGACGTCCCCAGCTCAGGCCTTGCTGACCCTGTGGCCTTTAGCCTCAGAGACGAATCGACACCCTCAACTCAGATGGATACACCCCTGAGCCAGGTGAGCGGGCAGAGGTGGGGACGCGGGTTGGGGCTCATGCTGAGCCGAGATCAGGGTCGCTGTCAGGGCTGTGGGGTTTCACGGGGGGCGCTGTGGGCCGGGCCAGGCTGTGGCAGTTGGCTTGGTTAACACCTGTGCACACATGTGCCCACACCCATCACACCTGCCTGTGCACATGTACGTCCCAGTGTGTACTGACGTGCAGGGAGCACACTTGGCCTTGCCTGAGGCTCCCCAGACACACGTTTGTTGAGTACCTACTATGTGTCAGTCACGTTCCGAGGTCACTGTGTGTATGAGCCACCGAACCCTCCTGACATGCCTTATGAAGTGGCTATGGTGATTAACCTCACTTTACAGATGAGAGAGGGAGGGGTCTGTCTATGGGGATGTGAGGCAGTGGTAGAGGCGGGATGTGAACCCACGATGGGCCCCAGAGCTCACATTCCTAAAATGGTCTGCTGCGGGTGCTCCTGTTTCTCATGGGTGGGCCCAGACCTGAACATGTGTATGCACAGAGAAGACACATAGTTACATGTGCACCTAGAGGCTCGCTTTTGGAGGCCTCGTAAATGTGGCTGTGTGCTGCATACGCAGACAGGGACGGGCCCGGCCATAGGCGTACACGTACGAATGCACACACATGCACACCCCAGCTGGCACAGTAACGGTGCCACGTGGATACCAATGCACACGCCCCTAGAGTCCACCCTCATGTGGCTTCATGGGGCACCCACAGCTGTGGCCAGGAGTGTATGCCAGTGTGTGCGTGTGGATGTGCAGGAACACGCATGGGCACCCACCTGCTTGTGCATGCTCCAGGGACGGCACCCTTGTCTGGGGCAGGTGCTTGTGGGGGCTGAGGCTGCCTTGCTCCCCACACCCCTGCCCCTGACCTGGGAGTGTACCGCTGTGTGTGCCCAGCACGCATAACGTCCCCAGACAAACCGCGGCCGATGCCCATGGACACGAGCGTGTATGAGAGCCCCTACAGCGACCCAGAGGAGCTCAAGGACAAGAAGCTCTTCCTGAAGCGCGATAACCTCCTCATAGCTGACATTGAACTTGGCTGCGGCAACTTTGGCTCAGTGCGCCAGGGCGTGTACCGCATGCGCAAGTATGGCCGCCCCTGCCGTGGTGGGAGCACCGCCGCCTGGGGCAGAGGGGAGTGGCTTCACCGGGCTGTGGGACGGGAGCCGGGATGTCTGTCTCACAGCAGTTTGCCTGGGAAACAGACTCTGGGGCAGGACGTTGCACGCTGGAGGATTCCCTGAGAGAGCTCGGGACACCTGACGGGGGTGGGATGGGGCCTGGGCAGGGGGAGGCTGTGGAGCTGAAGTTCCCAACCCAGGGGAGCTGCAGTGGGGTCCCCGATCCCTGAGTCCACTGGCCCCTGACAGGCTGCCCCTGGGGAGGGTGTCACTTTGGATTCTTTTTGGCGATGGGCTGTTCCCGGTGAGCGATCCGGCTGTGAGCCGTCCTCAGCAGACGCTCCAGGCTGCAGGGACATTGAGCGCCTTGGTCCCAGCCTGGGTGGCGACTACAGTTGTCTACCACACAACTCAAGGGAGAAGAGAGATGGGTGGGTGGGGGTGTGGGGCCGAGCAGGGCCGGTGCCCCTCGCCCACGTGCCTCCCGTGGCCGGGTCGGGCAGGAAGCAGATCGACGTGGCCATCAAGGTGCTGAAGCAGGGCACGGAGAAGGCAGACACGGAAGAGATGATGCGCGAGGCGCAGATCATGCACCAGCTGGACAACCCCTACATCGTGCGGCTCATTGGCGTCTGCCAGGCCGAGGCCCTCATGCTGGTCATGGAGATGGCTGGGGGCGGGCCGCTGCACAAGTTCCTGGTCGGCAAGAGGTGAGCACCGGGTGGGCCCGGCCATCGGGTGGGTGGGGCCGGGGCCCATCCTGGGCATGGTGGACATGCACCCGCGTGCATGCGTGTGTGGGAAGCCGGGGCACTTCCACACCATCGTGGACACACTCTCAGCCTGCACACCCACACCCATACCCATGCCTGCAAAGCAGAGCTAACCCTCAGTCCACCATTGCACCAGTGCGGTAATAACAGTGTCTACCTCCAGGGCCTTTGCGAGGATCGAATGAGTCGGCACCTATAAAGGGCACTGCTAGGGCCGGGTGCGGTGGCTCATGCCTGTAATTCCAGCACTTTGGGAGGCCAAGGCGGGTGGATCATGAGGTCAAGAGATCCAGACCATCCTGGCCAACATGGTGAAACCCCGTCCTTACTAAAAATACAAAAGATTAGCTGGGCGTGGTGGTGGGCGCCTCCCAGCTACTCAGGAGGCTGAGGCAGGAGAATCGCTTGAACCCACGAGGCGGAGCTTGCAGTGAGCCGAGATTGTGCCACTGCACTCCAGCCTGGGGACAGAGCGAAACTCCATCTCAAAAAAATAAATAAATAAAAATAAATAAAGGGCACTGCTAGTAAGAGCTTTGTACACATCAGCTGCTCCCCAGACTCCCTGGGCCAAATTCATGGCCCCTGGGAAAGTGCCCATTGCCAGTTATCTGGAACCTGCCCTTTGTTTACGTGCTGCGTGGTTTTCTATTTTTAATTTTTTTTTTTTTAAAGAAACAAAAACGAAGATGTGACAGAGATCACTTGTGGCCTGTAAAGGCTAAAATCCTTACTATCCGGCCCTTTACTGAAAAGTTTTGCAGTTTCATTTGTGGTTCCTCATCCCCAAACTCTTACCCTCACAGACACAAGTTCTGCACTCCCCAAGGCACGTTTTTGCTGATCTGTGCCCTCTGGCTGGTGCACACACCTTCCCAGTGTGCCCCTGGCTCCCACATTCAGTCATTTGACAGGTGTTTATTGGACAGTTTCTCAGTGACAGGAACTGTTAGTAGCACTTGGGATTCATTAGCGAATAAACAAGGCAGAGATCCATGCTCTGTATTCTGGTTGGAGAAGAGAGACAGTAAGTAACAATCCTGATGAAATCTAGAGCATGTGGGAAGATAGTGTGGTGGGCACAAGCCTGCCGCAGCTCCAGGGGGTTGGGAGTGTTGGGGTGCGAGGTGCAGTGAGCAGGGAGGTTTGAACAAACTGAGGGAGGCCGCCATGCCCAGACGTGGGGAAGGGCATTCCAGGCAAAGGGCACCGCCTGTGCAGAGGCCCTGAGGTGGTCCCGTGCCTCGTGTGGTGCGGGCAGGGAGGGGATGAGCAGACCGTGCCAGGCCTTGCGGGCTGCCAGGAGGACTTGGAGTTTTACCCTGAGTTGGGTGGGAGCTAGGGGGTGCTGTGAGCAGAGGAGGGGGAGGACCTGACTCAGGGGCAGAGAGGACAAGACAGTGGGAGACAGGAGGGAGCGAGGGCCTGGGCGGAGCTGACTATTCCTGCCTGGGGGTCCAGGTGAGTGATGCTGCGGCTGCTTCCCGGTGGCAGAGGCAGAGATGAGGAGTGCGGTGGATTCTGGAGAGATTCTGACACCAGAACTGCCAGGGTTTGCTGATGGATTGGGTGTGAGAGAAAGAGGAGCTGCTGGAGAGGACAGTGGAGGAGCCATATGTGTGTGCACATGGGGATGGGGACAATCAGGCCACATTATCTTTGAGATGCCTGTGAGACCTCAGCACGTCGAGGGTGCAGGCATAGGTCTAGACTTGGGAGTCGTAGCGTGTGGGTGATCCCTAAAGCCTTGAGACTGGATGAAGGCAGGAGTTTTGCCTGTTTTGTTCACTGCTGTGTCCCCAGCCCCACGCCTGGCACACAGCAGGTGCTCAATAAGCGTTTTTGAACACATGGTCACCTGGCTCATGCCCAGCTGGGTCAGAGAAGCATGCTTTGCCCCTGGGAACTTGGCTAGTCTTCTCCCAGCTGACCCCGCCTTCCCCGCCACCCCAGGGAGGAGATCCCTGTGAGCAATGTGGCCGAGCTGCTGCACCAGGTGTCCATGGGGATGAAGTACCTGGAGGAGAAGAACTTTGTGCACCGTGACCTGGCGGCCCGCAACGTCCTGCTGGTTAACCGGCACTACGCCAAGATCAGCGACTTTGGCCTCTCCAAAGCACTGGGTGCCGACGACAGCTACTACACTGTAAGCCTCTGCCCCTGTGATGCCCGACTGGATGGGCTGGGTGGGTAGAGGGTCCCTGACCCCTGATCCAGCAGCATCTCCCCCTCCCCAGGCCCGCTCAGCAGGGAAGTGGCCGCTCAAGTGGTACGCACCCGAATGCATCAACTTCCGCAAGTTCTCCAGCCGCAGCGATGTCTGGAGCTATGGGGTCACCATGTGGGAGGCCTTGTCCTACGGCCAGAAGCCCTACAAGGCAGGCGCGGGCAGAGGCAGGTGGGCGGTGTGGTGGGGAGGGGGATGAGGAGGAGGACACTGGTCACTCACAGGTGTCTCTGCCCCGGCTTGAGCAGAAGATGAAAGGGCCGGAGGTCATGGCCTTCATCGAGCAGGGCAAGCGGATGGAGTGCCCACCAGAGTGTCCACCCGAACTGTACGCACTCATGAGTGACTGCTGGATCTACAAGTGAGTGCCAGTGGGGAGGGGACCCGGCTGGGCTGACCCCTGGAAAGTCCTGGTGCCCGATGAGTTGATGTCAATATAACTCTACCCAATGTCATCTCACCCAAAGCCCTTCACCCAGTTCATAGCCTTTGCAGCTGCCCCCTACCCCCACACCCAGCTCTCCAACACACCAGGGTTTGCTGTCCTGCTCCAGTGTGCCACACCCTGCCATCCCACCTGTGGGCCTGTGCCTCAGCATCTAAAACCTCAGCCATCACTCAACACATGGACCCTGCAACACGCAAACAGGTCCATACTCTGCTACTCAACCTATGACACTGACACTCAGGGCATGAGATGATTCTCCAGTACCCAACACTCCAGTCCCCACCAGCCAGCACACAGCACCCAACTACCAGACAGGTGAGCACTGAGGTACCAAATACTCATCTATTCCAGCCCCCACCTCTGCCTGGTTGAAGCCCAACCTTCAGACATCTCAACTCCTAACACCATCAGTATCCCAACTTCCCATCAGACAACAGGCAACACACCCCCAGACAAGCGGACGCCCTAGACTGCCCATGCAATGTGTGGACACTGTAACGCATGACCCCCCACCGGCCAGCACTTAGCATGCTGACACCCCAACACCCAAGCAGCCCAACAGATAGACACCCTCTCTGGCTGGCCCACCCTCCTGCGACATGTGTTAATTCCACCTCCATCAGGAAACACCCAGGGCACCACACCCCAGTACCCAAAGAGGCTAGCACCTAGCACCCCAACACAGTCCATGGATACCCCATGCACAGTACCGTTAATACTGCCGCTCCCCGCTGGCCAGACCCACTGCCATGCTCCAGGCTTCTGCTGATCACCAGCCTTGCACTCCCTCTCATCTAAGCCCCAGCACACTGATACCCTGGCCCCAGGTGCATGCACAGAGCATCAGCTTTCTATATCCCAGGTCCCCGTGGTCAATAGTTGCCACTCTGACACCAAGTCCACTCAGTCCCCTGAGTCCTCACTGGTCAACGCTCGGTAGAGGGGTCATCCCAGCACCCTGTGTGTGGGCAGCTCTGCCTCCTTAGGCTGTGTGGCATTGCCCAACGCTCTCACACCCCAGAGTCCTCTCCACCACCCAATGTCCCGCCACCCCAACAGCCCTGCTGACTTTCTGAGCCCCAAAAGTCTACCTCAGCCAAGCACAGTGCATGCCCACCCACTGGTGAAGCTGGGTCCTGGGGGCGTGGTCAGCAGCCTGGATGTACCCCACGCCCCACAGGTGGGAGGATCGCCCCGACTTCCTGACCGTGGAGCAGCGCATGCGAGCCTGTTACTACAGCCTGGCCAGCAAGGTGGAAGGGCCCCCAGGCAGCACACAGAAGGCTGAGGCTGCCTGTGCCTGAGCTCCCGCTGCCCAGGGGAGCCCTCCACGCCGGCTCTTCCCCACCCTCAGCCCCACCCCAGGTCCTGCAGTCTGGCTGAGCCCTGCTTGGTTGTCTCCACACACAGCTGGGCTGTGGTAGGGGGTGTCTCAGGCCACACCGGCCTTGCATTGCCTGCCTGGCCCCCTGTCCTCTCTGGCTGGGGAGCAGGGAGGTCCGGGAGGGTGCGGCTGTGCAGCCTGTCCTGGGCTGGTGGCTCCCGGAGGGCCCTGAGCTGAGGGCATTGCTTACACGGATGCCTTCCCCTGGGCCCTGACATTGGAGCCTGGGCATCCTCAGGTGGTCAGGCGTAGATCACCAGAATAAACCCAGCTTCCCTCTTGTCTGAGCGCCCTCATCTTTTCCGGGGTGAGGGTAGGTGTCAGGGGAGGGGTGGGTTATGAAAAGTGCATGGAGGTGACTGTTCTTGTGTGGACTGAGCCTGGAAGTGACCCCTGGGAAGATGGGGCTGGGTCCCACTCTCCACCCTAGGGACACCTTCATGTGAGTGAGCGGCTGGGGTGGAGTGGGGAACCTGAGGCCAGGCGGGTGTGGGCCCAAGGGCTGCGTGCCTGGCTGAGCCCAGCTCCCCTGTGTGGAGATGAGTGTGCCCCATGCCAGGTGCACGTTAGGATCACCTGGAGCTATTTTAACAAACGCTAACCCCCCCTCCCCCATCCAGCTGGGGTCTTCACCCCCCCAGGGGTGCCTTGCAAATCATGAGATACAATGCTTTTCATTGGTAGATGCACGTATTAGCTCCCGTATGAACCGTATTACTGAATTTGAATCTGAAAAATACCAAAATGCAAACATTGTTTTTAAATTAATTGTTTTAAAAGCTAATGAACGAATTAAGACAAATTGCATCAATTTAGTGGTTTCTTAAATCGTGGTTTGCAGGTAGTTCAGTTTTATTAAAATTCATTTGTGAGTCGCTGAACGACTTACATTATGTAAAATATATCAGACAGTAAATGAATTGTGGCTTTCATTGCCTTTTGGTCATCATTATGTTTCATGTCATCATTATTGATGAAAGTAATCTTATTTTATAAGAAGGAGGCATTAAAAAATGGGTGTCAAGTACATTGGGAACGCTAACAGACCCACCAGAGATGTCCGCTGAGGAACCAACGAAAGAGGGTGCAGTTCCGCAGAGCACTCTCCAGGTGGCGATGTTTCCAGAGGCCGAGGCCAGCTGGGGTCAATCCCGCCCTCACTGCCTGCTTCACCTCTGCACGTCTCCTTTTCCGCTAGCAGCACGACCTCAGGCCCTCACCTCCAGGTCCCCATTCCTGTCCCCTGTTGGGGTGATCAGACCCAACACCAGGTCGTGGGGGTGACAAAGTCCGGCAGAGTCAAAGGATTGAGAAAAAGACAGTTTGAGAGATAAAAGTGGGACACCAGGGGGTCATCGCCATCATGGAGGCTGCGAAGACCCTGAGCTCTGGGAGCCCACGGTATTTATTTGTAATCCAACAAAGAAACAGGTGGTGAGAATGTGGCTGTCAAAAGGACACGTTGCATTAAGCACATGATTTACAGCTGTGATGGTTTAGCTTTTCTACGGAACATGTTCTGCTACTTGAGATAATGGGAATACAATCGATCTAGGAGCCTAGGAAGGCTAGAAGCAAGGAGCCAGCAAGTCTAGACACGTTCCAGAGGCCATTATTTCAGTCATGCAAGCCCCATCTCAGTTTCCCTCCCAACACTCAGCTTTTTCCCAACAGTCCCCTGGAAGGTGCTTGCAGGATCTTTTCTCTTGGCGGCTCTGACCAAGCCCCTTCACCCTCCTCCAGGGTTTCCAGCGCCCACGCGGACTCCCCTCTGGGCCTCTGCATTCACCGCTGCCGCTGCCTGGAAAGCTCTCCCCGTCCCCACCGGTGATGTCCCCTAGGAAAGCTCCCCGTCCCCCGGGGTGATGTCCCCTAGGAAAGCTCCCCGTCCCCTCCCGGGTGATGTCCGCTAGGAAAGCTCCCCGTCCCCCCCAGGTGATGTCCCCGAGGAAAGCTCCCCGTTCCCTCCCGGGTGATGTCCGCTAGGAAAGCTCCCCGCCCAGGCTCCCTGGGTATGGAGGAGAGGGGCTGAGGGACGCAGTTTCTGATCACTGCTTGCACACCTCCTGTGATGGGCAGCTCATCCATTACCTCTCAACGCAGCCTGGGCTGGTAAGTGAGTTACAATTCTTAGAAAGGTTTTCCAGCTGCTGACACCAACCTTGACCCCCATTCCCTTTACCGTTCCAAGACCATACAGAGCACACCTCTTCTCCAAATATCTCACTCCTCCTCTATTGATCATGTGCCTATTCCAGACGTGTGTCATGAGGCACACAGGCTCAGGGTGATAACCACTGGCATGGTGGCAGCCCACTGGGCCCTGGAGGTCCAGAGAAGCTCCTGAGCCAGCTGAGAGGGGCCAATCTGGTGGGCTTCCTGTAGGAGGGAACGCCTTAGCTGAGTTCTGAAGGGTGAGTGACATTTGGTTGGGGACCGTAAAGAAAGTATCCCAGGGAGCAGGAATAGTGTGTAGTGGGAGAGAATGTCCTTCTGGAAACAAAGAGAGGTTTTGGCGGGGCTGGAAGGCTGAGTTTGGAAATGGGAAGAAAACGCAAGGCCTGGTGCGGTGATCAAGATGGGAGGTCAGTAACATCCTCTTTGTTTCATATTTCCTGACTCCTTGGCCAGGAAGCAACTAACATCTCCATCTACCAGGTCCACGGCTTCCTAGCATTGGGTTTTACCATTTTAAAAACATTTTTTAATTTTAGATGGGAAAAATATCTTATTGTGTAAATTAAGACAAATTAGCATTTCTCTTGTAAGTGGCGAAGTTGAGCAGTGTTTTCAGATGTGCGCCAGCTTGACAGATGCCACCTCTTGCTGTGAACGTCTCATGGCCTCATGCCCAGCACAGAGCTCGCACCTTCTCAGGCCCCATCCTCTGCTCTGAGCAAAAGGCCAAGGGCGTAGGCTGCCCTGTGGCCACATGGGTGAGGATATGGTGAATCAGTTTCCTGTTCTGCTTCCATTCACCTTTTGTCCCTTCAGGGTTTCAAATTTCTCTCTTCTCTGTTGGAGGCTGGGGTCCCATGTGCCTGTAGCTTTGTCCTTGTCTGAGGTATCTCTGAGCTCAAATTAGAGGGCTGTGAAGCCCCAGGAAGGTATTTGTGGGAGGCAATTCTGATGTGCTGGGTGCCTCGAACACACAACTTCCTGTTTAATTCTCAAAACATCTGCCTGGGGTGGGGACTCTTGAACCCATTTTACAGTTGAGGAAACCAAGGCTCTGAGGACTTGGTTTACAGACCCAACATGCCCACTATCCCAAGGCCAATATGTAAGAGGCAACTCTATTGGCAGCTTTTCTGGGCTTCATTTAACAAACTCCTCTGTAGACATTAAGGTTCTGTTTAATTCATGTTCTAGAGGACAGAGGTTGTTAGCTCTCCATCTTGAGGCAAAACTCTTTGTCCCACCCTGCCCAATCAAGGCATGGAAGCCCTGTTTCTCATCTAGGAAGGGGCTGTGGTGTTCAGCTCAGCACCAACCTTATACTTCAGGGAGAGAAATGGGAAAGAAAAAAAGGGAGAAGAAAGCACATACATTCATCCTCCTCGGAACCAAACTCCTGAGTTAGGCCTTGGTTCTGGCTCCGTGGCTGCCACTAAAATCCCATGTGGCCTTGTTAAATCCCTCCCACCTCTGGCTCTCCACTTCCGCTTCTGTGGAGTTTTTATTCTAGCAATGAAACTTTTCACATATGAGCTCCTGGTTCTTTCTTATATCTGCCTGCTTTTGTCTCATAGTCTCCTGTTCTTTCTTTTCTTTGAGATAAAGTTTTGCTCTTGTTGCCCAGGCTGGAGTGCAATGGCGCGATCTTGGCTCACTGCAATCTCCACGTTCCGGGTTCAAGCGATTCTCCTGCCTCAGCCTCCTGAGTAGCTGGGACTACAGGCACCCGCCACCATGCCCAGCTAATTTTTGTATTTTTAGTAGAGATAGGGTTTCACCATATTGGTCAGGCTGGTCTTGAACTCCTGATCTCAGGTGATCCACCCGCCTCGGCCTCCCAAAGTGTTGAGATTACAGGCATGAGCCACTGCACCCGGCCTCCTGTTCTTGTTTATGGCTGTTATTCCCTTCTTTATCTCTTTGAGTTTTTAATATATTTATTGCAAAATTCTTTTAAGGTTGCACTATTATTCTCTATTTCCTCAGACGTAAATTCTTCCAGTTGGGGAGTTTGTGGAAATTTCATGAAGTGGTTGTGAATCCATTGTCTCTTCAGAATATTTCTTGCATGTGTATCTTGTAAGGGCTGTATATGAGAGCCTGTGCTCTTGGCTTCATACATTAGGGGGCCCTGCATTGGTACTAGCCTCCTAATGGGTAGGTGGTGGGGGGCTTCAACCCTTGTCTCTGGGCATCTCTGCAGTGGTCTCTTGTATACCTGGTATTTTCCTGTCATTGCTAAGTGTTTGAAGAATGGTTTCTATGTGTACTTGGTCTGCCATCTTGAATGAAAGTCCAATTTCACCATCTGTAAACATTTCACAGATGAGGCACCGGAAGTTCAGGGAGGTGGCCTGACTTGCCCCAGTCCACACAGCTAGGAGGGAGAATTTGAACCCAGCGAAACCCTATCCACTCCCCGCTCCTCGGCAGGCCCTGGCCCGGTGCTCCCCTCAGCTCTGACTCATTGCTAGCTCTGCATTCCCTGGACACCTTCTTCCTCAGAGAGCTGGGAGAATGGCCTCTACCCTGTAGACACGCTAAATAAACTCAAAATTTTGTTCTGGTGGACGAAGTGAAAAAAACCAAAACTGGCAGATTAGCTCGGTATAATATGACAAGGCCCTGGACTCTGCAGTCTGGCTGTGAGACCTCAGGGAGGTTACTTAACCTTGGGGAGCTTCAGTCTTCTCATTTGTCACATGGTGATAATAACTGTGTTTACCTTTCTGAGTAGTGATGTGAAGTGAAACAATGCATTAGTTTAGCACTTAGTAGCTGCTTATTAAATATTACTTCCTTCCATGGAGGAAAGCAAACTGGGGATGGGGCCAGGGGAATGTGATAGCTGATCCATCAAATTCCTGAAAGGTTTCATGGGCCAGAGGGAGGAGAGCTTCTCCATGGTCTGAAAAAGAGAACAGAGAATAACAGGGAAGGATCCAGGGAAGGTGACACAGCTGCAAAGTCTGTTCATTGGGGTAAAGAATAATCCCTTCAACAAATGGTACCAGGACAACTTGATTTCCACAAACAAAACAAACAAAAAGTCAGACCTCTATCTCACACATATAAAAAAACTAACTAAAATGGATCAATGACCTAAATATTAAATATAAGAGCCCAAACTGTAAAACTCTTAAGAAAACAAAGAGGTAAATATTTTTGGATTTCGCAGTGGATTCTCAGGTATAACACTCCAAGCACAAGCAATAAAAGAAAAATAGATAAACTGAACTTGATCAATATAAAAATCTTTTACTTTTTGTTTTTAATTTTTATTTGTTTTATTGTTTTTTTGAGACGGAGTCTCGCTCTGTCCCCCAGGCTGGACTGCAGTGGTGCAATCTCGGCTCACTACAATCTCTGCCTCCCGGGCTCAAGCAATCTTCCAGCCTCAGCCTCCTGAGTAGCTGGGATTGCAGGTGTCCATCACCATGACCAGCTAATTTTTGTCTTCTTAGTAGAGATGGGGTTTCACCATGTTGGCCAGGCTGGTCTCGAACTCCTGACCTCAGGTGATCCACCTGCCTTGGCCTCCCAAAGTGCTGGGATTACAGGCATGAGCCACTGTGCCTGGCCAAAAAACCTTTTAATTTTTAAATTAAAGGACATCATCAAAGGGTAGCCCAGAGAATGAGAAAAATGTTAGCAAATCATTTATCTGATAAGGATTTAGTGTTTAGAATGCATAAAGAATTCCTACAATCCAACAACAAAAAAATATCCAACTCAATTAACTGGGCAAAAGACTCGAACAGACATTTCTCCACAGATGCTATACAAATGGTTAACAAACACATGAAATGTGAACTTCATTAATCATAAGAGAAATGAAAATAAAAACCACAGTGACAAGCCACACCTCACACCTCCTAGGATGGCCGTGTGCACACACCGTAACTACGGCTGCTGAGGGTGTGGCGAAATTGGAACCCTCACACACTGTGGGTGGGGATGTGAGATGGTGCAGCCTCTGTGGAAAGCAGTTTGATGTTTCCCTACAAGGCTAAACATGGGCTGACCATCGACCCGGCAGTTCACTTTTAAGTATACACCCCAGTGAATTGAAAACAAGGTCTCAGATAATAGTAAACCAATGTTCACTGCAGCATCATTCACGATAGCCAAAAGGTTGAAACAACCCAAATGTCCATCAAATGATGAATGGATAAACAAAATGAGGTGTATACATTCCATGGAACATTATCCAGCTGATGGAACATTATCCAGCTGAAACAAGAGGGAAACTCTCTTGCCTGCTACAGCATGGAGGAAACTTGAAAATATGCTAGTGAAAGAAGCCAGACACAAAAGGACAAACATCGTATGGTTCCACTTACAGGAAATATCTAGAACAGGCAAATTCATAGAGACGGGAAGCAGATAGAAGTTACCAGGAGCTGGGGGGAGTAGGCAATGAGGAATCATGGATTCACGTTTACAGAGTTTCTGTTGGGAATGATGGAAAAGTTCGGAAATAGATAGGGGTGATGGTTGCACAACACTGTGAATGTAATTGACACTGAATTGTGCACCTAGAAAGTTAAAATGACAAATATTATTAAATATGTTTTACTACAATTTTAAAAATAGCTTAAAAAAACCCACCACCGCCACAAAATATACAGTTACTCTCTGTAAGTCCAGTGAGGATTAAAATACAATGGAAGGTCTCTTGCTCAAGCACAACCAACGTTGTCTATGCCACAATTTATAGACCTGTGTTTTTAAGTTTTGGCTTCAGCAAGGAGGTGAGCAGAACTTTCAGAGGAGGTTAAGGGCTTGGCAGATTTTGCTGGTGACACACCCGGACAGGAGTGGCCTTGATCTTGGTTTTCCCAGCCTCCAGAGCTGGGAGCAATACATTTCTGTTGTTGATGAATTACCCAGTCTAAGGCATTTTGTTGACAGCAGCACACACAGACTAAGACACAAGAGCACCAGCAACAAAAGAAAACAATGGAGAAGGTGGACTTCATGACATTGAAACTCTTTGTACAAGAAAAGTGTATCAAGAAATTGAAAAGAGAACTCACAGAATGGGCCTAGTACTTGCAAATCATATATTGGGGAAGAATCTAACATCCAACTTATATAAAGACCTTTGTATAAATCAACAATAAAAAGACAGTCTAAGTAAAAAATGGACAAAGGATTTGAACAAACATTTCTTTAAGACATACCATTGACTCATTAATGAGCACATGAAAAGATTCTCAACATTATTAATCATTAGGGAAATGCAAATGAGATAGCACTTCCAAAAGAAAAAAAAAGGTAAAGGAAAAATGGGCAAAAACAACTGTGGGAGTGGATGTGGAGAAGTCAGATCACTCGTGCATTGCTGGTGGGGATGTTACAAAGTGCAGCTGCTTTGTAAAACAGTTTGGCAGTTCTTTAAAAATTTAAACATAGATTAACCATCTGACCCAGGAATTCCACTCCTGGGTAATACTCAAGAGAATGGAAAACGTATGTTCACACAAAAACTGGTACATGAATGCATTGTGTATACAGTGGCATTATTCATAACAGCCAAAAAGTGGAAGTAACTCGAATGTCCATCAACAGATGAGTAGATAAATGTGTGGTATATACATACACGGAAGCCTTATTCAGCCATAAGAAGGAATGAAGTACTGATACATATGCCACAGCAGCCACTGACCTCAAAGACTTTACCGAGGTGACAGGATCCAGACACAAAAAGCCACATATTGTGTGATTCTATTTATATGAAGTGTTAAGCATGGGCAAATCCAGAGAGACAGAAGGTAGATAGTGGTTGCCAGGGGCTAGGGGAAGGACAGTGGGTAGTGACTGCTCATGGGCATGGAAGTTGTTTTTGGAGGTGGGGGAGGTGGCAGTGTTGATGAAATGTTCTGGAATGAGAGAGTGGTGATGGTTGCCCATCACTGTTAATACACTAAAAAGCAGTGAGCTTTATACTCTAAAATGGTTAAAGTGCATTTTGTTTGATGTGAATTTTATCTCAGTGTGAAAAAATCCTGCTGTCAGAAGAGTGTCTATTGGACCTGGCCTGTACTGGCACGAGGTTTTTTTTTTTTTTTTTTTTTTTTTTTTTTTTTGCTATTGGTGACTGGCCGAGCCATCTGTTGTGAAGATGGCTGCTTTGTAGTGTGGAAGGCTGTGGGCAGGACATGTCTGCCAACTCTAATGCAGACACTTCCCAGGAACTAATGACTATTAGTCTTTGTAATGCATCTTGAAGCCAAGTGTCTAGATTTTAAAACCCCAGTGTGGGAAACACTGACGGTGAAATTTCCCAAGTAACGGGTGGCCTGTACCTAATCCACAAGGATAGAGTGATAGGCATGTGGCTTCTCTGCCTGACTCTCCATGTCTGTGTGGTGTAAAATATCTCACCTGAGGCCATGTTTCTTACCTGTTGAAAGTTTATTAGCACAGGGCAATGGCTACATTAGGAATATTTATTCACAATGTTGATGATGGGGCTAAACCCAGAATGGTTGGGGAAAACCAGTTCCTTATAATCGATGTGTTGGTACAGTATTTATAATAAATGATTAAAAACTGTTAATCCACTTGGCAAGTTTAAAGCAGGTTTTCTTTGATCAAGAAGAAGCTCTATTTTGTTTTTTTTAAGAAGTCATGGCTCTTCCTTCTCTCTGTAATTTCGTATTGGTCTGATTTTCATCAGGCGAGGAGGCAACAGGCTGGTGGCTATGAAGAGTCCGTTCTGCTTCCCCGCCTGCCATGGGCTGGGCTAGTGAACTGCAGGGGTGTTCTCCATGGAGCAGAAGAACCAGGGTCTTTCTCACTTATGATGCTGCTAGACTGACCCCTGGTGGCCTCTGTGCTGCGACTGGCTGCGTGAGGCCAGGTGCGGGTTCTGGGCCATCCCCTCACTCCCTGTTCACTGCCATATGCTAGCTGGGCGGGGTTCCCTCCCACTCAGGGTGTTCTCAATGGGGCACCTACCCAGCATGCACTCTCCAAGGTTCCCGCCACCTCTAAAAGACACTGGATTCTAATTTTATAAAACGTACAGCACCGTAGCACTGTAAGGCCAAATTCTAGTTTCCATATATAGCTTCCCATAACATTGCTCCTGAAAGCGGAGCCACAGGCTTTCCCTCCCGTGGGAGGCCATGAGCCCGGGGCTGATTGCGGATCTCATGTGCTCTTCTTAGGTCCGTGACGGTTTAGTCTGGGAGTGCGTTTGTAGAGGGAGTATTGCTTACAGTGGATGTGACACTTCCCTTTTTTTTTTTTTTTTTTTTTTTGAGACGGAGTCTCGCTCTGTCGCCCAGGCTGGAGTGCAGTGGCGCAATCTCGGCTCACTGCAAGCTCCGCCTCCCGGGTTCACGACATTCTCCTGCCTCAGCCTCCCGAGTAGCTGAGACTACAGGCGCCCGCCACCAAGCCCGGCTAATTTTTTGTATTTTTAGTAGAGACGGGGTTTCACCGTGTTAGCCAGGATGGTCTCGATCTCCTGACCTCGGGATCCGCCTGCCTCGGCCTCCCAAAGTGCTAGGATTGCAGGCATGAGGCACCGCGCCCGGCTGACACTTCCTATTTTTACAAAAGGCACAGACTAATAGCACGCATAGTGCGCTGTCTGTGTGGGAAAGGAGGGAGATGGGAGTGCTTTTCCCAAAAGGACGTTTATAGAGCAGGGACAAGGGAATGATGGCAATAGGTCTTTCTAGGCAGCAGCAAGCCCTGCTGGCTTTGGAGTTCCGGGTGGGCAATGACTGTCAGGGGTCAGGTCTGTGAGAGTTGCTAGGAGCATGCATTCTGCAGAAGCGGGAGGGGACTGACGGCAAAGGAATTAAGTTACAGAAGGATCCTGAATGCATGAAAATTTGCAGCCCCACATTGCCTTAACTGGAAAAGGAGGTGGTGCTTTGTGGGCATAGGAATCTGATGCAGCCTCCTCTCCCTGCTGCAAAATATCTGGCTGGGAGGAATGGTCCAAATCCAGTCCCTCTAAGAACCTTGTCCCTGGACATGCTGCCGCAGTTCTGCTGAGAGGCGGGGCTGAGGCAAACGGGAGCCCAGGCTGGCGGTGGACCCAGTGGTGAGGGTGGGAGGGATGAGGGCGTGGGAGGAGGGGCCCCAGGCAGTGGCAAGGAGCTCAGGAGGCTCCAGATTGGTGGCCTCATGCCCCCTGCCAAATGAGTTCCATCCCCATCAGGAAGTTGCCATTTCTAGGGGTTTAACACTGGGAAATGTCTTTGGAATACCACAGTAACAGACAATAGGAAGTGCTACCACTTATTTATTTGGCCTCATGTTTCACACCATCCTCCTGAGGATGTTTGTTTTGCATATAGGGAAACTGAGGCTCTGAGAGGGGCAGAGTGTGCCCAAGGGCCATGATCAGTAAATGGCAGAGCCAGGACTGGAACCCAGGCCACACTCATCCATGCCACTGCACTCATGTGTACACCCAAATGGTCAACGCCCTTCCCCGCAGTGCAGCAGCAACGCACCGCAGTTAAAGCAGCTGGGCTTGTTGCTCCCTGCAGCAAGGGGGACCCAAACAACAGTGAGCTGGGGTGTCTCCTAAGAGGGTGTCAGGAAGTAGCAATTGTAGGATGTGGGCCTTGGTTATTAGCTTATTTGGGGGGTGGGTCTATGGAGTCAGGGGTTTGCTCTGGAGTGGAGGCTGGCTCAAGAGTGTCTAATGAACGCAGTCTATAGTTACACCAGAGTTAACAGTTTTTTCCTGTCTGTTGTAAAGCGAGTTGTTGAATCGCATGATGAAAGAAATGGTGTGCAGTACCATCTAAAACTCTAGACAGGAGATACTAGCCAACCATTTACAGGTAATTACGAGAAACGCAAGGACTGTTAGTCCTCGTAACAGGTCTGCAAGACAAGGGCCTAGAGCGCCTCCAGGTAATGGGCGCATGTTCCAGAAGCCAGCTGGGTTGGCTTTAGAGGTCAAGGCTTTTTCTAATAGTCACAAACTGTCCTGTTCCCCTGTGGTGTTTTTCTAGGTATAAAAAAGGAGTATTTGTTATGGCATGACCTGTCCCTTTGCTGGCTAAGAGGAAAATAAAGCTTATATGACTGTCCTTGATAACTCTAAAGAATGGACTTAGATTAGTCGGTTGGACTTTCAGAGCAGAGTGGTCTCGTTTATGGCTTCAGCTAAAATTACCAACTAGTTTTGAACTCTCTCTCTAGTCGTTTTATTCCTTTGGTGGGAACTGGAGTTTGCAGAGTATGCATGAAGAGCAAATCAAGGATCGCTACTGGAAGGTTTTGGAATCATCTATGATAATTTTACGCTGGATTGCTGGGTATTCTTTCAAAGAATGGATTACTGGAGACGTGGGTGTTGTAAATATCTGAACATATCTAACCACTCTGAATATACATGAGTGTGTGGCAGACCAATATAAGCCTGACATGGGCTAATAAGATGTAGTGTCCCACTGAAGCACAGATCGTATGGGGAGCATATTATTATAATAGCAATAAATTTCGTGTCTTTGTGTGCCTTTTGTACAGAAGCTGTAGATCACGTAGAGGCGGGTGTGTTTTGGATATACTGTATAGTTCATATTTATGTTGAGATAAAGCTGGAAATAAAATGTAATCATGTAGAATCTAAGATGGGATGAAGCTTCAAACTGTATACAGTGGCATGTTATGAATTCATAAGAAGCAACATGGGACCTAGAGGTGGTTGATCGTATAATGCTAATGGTAATTTCTTAAGATGTAGAATTTTGGAGGTTTCTGAGAGGTATGCTATTTTTAAAAAAATTCCATTAGTTCTGTTTTTCTAGAGGACTGGAGAAAACAAGGACAGTGAAATCTCTGGATTAAAGGCACAACTTCAGTGTTTCTTAATAACAGTATGTCTTAGTCCCTTTGTGTTGCTGTAAAGGAACACCTGAGGCTGAGTAATGTGTGAAGAGGTTTATTTGGCTCAGGGTTCTGCAGGCTGTAGAGGCAGCAGCATTGGCTTCTGCTGAGGGCCTTGGGCTGGGTGCACTCCTGGTGGAGGTGAAGGAGAGCCCCGTGCAGACCACACGGTGAGAAAGGGAGGAAGAGGGAGGTGGGGGAAGGTGCCAAGCTCTTTTCAACAACTAGTTCTTGTGGGCACTAAGGGTGAGCACTTAGTCCCATGAGAATGGCACCAAGCCATTCACGAGGGCTCCATCCCCTCCACCAAGCCCCACCTTCCACACTGGGGATCATATTTCAACAAGAGACTCAGCAGGGCCAAACAAACCACAGCATTGGTCTGGAAAAAGGAGTATCTCTGTCATTAGAAGTAAGTGGGGATTTTCCAGGTTGGAAAACAAAATCAAGCACTTTTTGTCACTCTGGCAGGGAAATTTTCAATCCACAGTGAATATAAACAAACAATAACCAGAATGTATTTATAATCCACGGCAGAAGGCATTTGTATGGAGTCTACTTGGAGGGGTCTGAAGGGCCTTCAAGCTCTCCAGTTCCTGCTCACGTCTACATTTAAATGTTTTATCAGGATTTCATTCACAGGGGGATGTTTTGTAACCATTATTGGCAATACCTCTAAAATTACCTGGCTTAATTAATATTGTTGCCAATTTATTTTTACAGCTATCTAATTATGGGTAACATCATGAAGAATTTTTGTTAGATTCCACTATCACCTTTTTTCATGACATCAGCTGGCCCTCCTAAGATGTAAAAGGCATCAGAACTTTCCCCATTTTCTTTTTTCAAACCAGGGGCTTGTTCTGACACTAATAGCAGCCTCTGAATTTCTCAAGACCGGTGAGATCACAGGAGTGTTTCTATAGGCTGATCTTGTTTCTTTAGCACAGTGGTCAGCCCAAACACTGCCATTAGGATCTGAGTCTTTGTATTTGAATGACCTTTTACTATTACTATAGCTAAGATAGCAAAGCATCTAAAATGTCTTTGTTATCCAACTTCTACAGGCATTTGTCAGGGTTAGAAGCCTGTTCCTAAAGCATTCAAATTTTGTGGACTAGCCCCAATCACATTTATTTATACTATCAATATAAACATTTGTTCTTTTATTTTTTCCAACCTGCCCATGTGGGAGCAAATGTTTTAGTCATCTGTGATGACCTAATTTCTGGGATTGGTCTATATTTTAAGGGTGAATTTAACTCTGTGGTAGCATTTTGAAATAGGAACAAGTAAAATTAGGACAAGGCTACTCAAAGGCATCTCTAACAAAATTACTAAAGCGTATTTTTTACATTGAGAGTTAATAATTTGGTGACAAAAAGGAATCTTTCTTCAAATTTAGCATAACTAAATCACTTTACTTGTGTGAAAATAATTCAAAATCAAAGCTGTTGAAATTTTATTTAGAGCCTTAAAGGAATGTGATGATGAGGCCTGAGTCATGCAACAGGCACCTATAACCTGTTTCTCTGATCATAGACTATCCTTTTTCTTTACCTACACTGTTTTGTAAAATGTTATAAAAAACTCATGGGCAGCAGGGAAGACCCCTTTCCTCCTAACTGTTGATCGTCATTATAATTTCCCTCTTTCTTCTCTTACACAAGGACCTCACAACTACTATACTCTCTAAATCACAATGTTAAATATAGTCTTTTCAATTGGAAAGAAAAAACATCAAGCTGTAACTAATCAAATTGCTGTAGCTCATAAGCCAGACTCATATGGAAAATGCCGTGATTCCACTAAATGTGTTTTCTGCCTGTATAAAAGAGACCTTAACCTTTTAGCTCCGGAACACTGACCCCTTTCCTTTGGAGTCTGTGTTTCCCGGATGGCTAAAACAGTCTTTTAAATGAGATTCTGATCCTTTACATTATTTCAGGTTGTCATGAAAAATCCAAATTCTAATTTCACTCCTTTGATACACAGTTTAGGTAAAAAAACATTTAAAAAAGATTATACCTTTGTTTATACGTATTTATATAAACATATAAGATACCTGGGCATAGCAGCTCATGTTTGTAATCCCAGCACTTTGGGAGGCTGACGCAGGAGGATCGCTTGCGCTCAGGAGTTTGAGACCAGAGGGGGCAACGAAGCAAGACCTCATCCCTATAAAAAACAAAAAATAAAAAAATAAAAAAAAATTAGCCAGATGTGGTGGTCCGTGTCTTTTGTCCCAGCTACCTGGGAGACTGAGGTGGGAGAGCTGCTTGGGCCTGGAAGTTCAGGGCTGCAGTGAGCCTATGATTGTGCCACTGCACTTCAGCCTGGGCGACAGAGCAAGACCCAGTCTCAAAATAAATAAAGACATCCACTATCATTTCATGTAAATATAATTATATACAACCTGTAATTTTAAATTCAACCTTGGCCTAGTACAAAGCGACTATCATGCCAACAAGTGTTCACTGTAAACAGACTGAGTTGTGTCAGATCTTCAGATTTGGTGGGTATGTTGCCACTCAAATACCTACCCTTAGAGTAATTATTTGGAAAGCACAAGTAACAGAAGAGACCCTTGTTTGTATCTTCTCCCAAGTACACAGTGTTTCTCTCAAGCCTGCTGGCGAGGCTCATGGGGTGAAATTAGAACTTAAAAAAGGAGTTTGGTCGGGGGGGGTCTCAGGCGATTGTTCTGATGAAGCAAGTTTAGAATCAATTCCTGAGATACTCTTTCTGAGGAAAAGTCTGCCAATACAGTTTTTTTCTTATCTTTTTTTTTGAGATGGAGTCTTGCTCTGTCTGTCTCCAGGCTGGAGTGCAGTGGTATGATCTTGGCTCACTGCAACCTCCACCTCCCAGGTTCAAGTAATTCTCCTGCCTCAGCCTCCTGAGTAGCTGGGATTACAGATGCACAGCACCACCCCCAGCTAATTTTTGTATTTTTAGTAGAGACGGGATTTCACCATGTTGGCCAGGGTAGTCTAGAACACCTGACCTCAGTTGATCCGCCCACCTCGGCCTCCCAAGGTGCTGGGACTACAGGTGTGAGCCCCAGCGCCTGGCCCAGTTTTTCTTTGGTTTAAGTGAGGGTTTATATGAAGCTCACCTGTATGTAGAGCTTTACACGTCATTATCTGCTTTGGTGTAGAAAGAGAATCCCAAGACTTGAATTTGTCCTGATCGTGCAAGTGCACGTAGGAAACCCTGCTGCTAACATTGTACAAGGCCTGATGTCAGCCTACACACCATAGCTCTGGTTGCACAGGAAATCTGGTGTCCCCGAGGGACAAATCACAAGTTGTCAAAACAATGAGACTTGTTCTGTGAGCTTTGGTATAAAGCAGAGAAAAGGTCAGGTTCACAATCACGCCAAATAACATTTTGACTAAATCACTCCCACCTTCATGGGGATAGTTTTGATTTCATGATGTAACTAGCCTCCAACAGAACATTTATGTTACCTAGCAAAGCCTGGCTTTAACACAGACTGGAAACAAGACAATGAGAAAAGCAAGTTGGAACAGGCAAGATTAAACCAACCGATGCGTTGTGGCGTACCGAGACTCGCCTCGTGTCTGTGTGAACTCAACAGGGACCATGGAGGAGCTGAAAGTCTTAAAATTGGAAAAGGGTCAACACACTTCTAGTTAAAAGAAAAAAAATAAAATTTAGATGTGTAGTCTTTACTACTGCACCTTACAGGCTTGGCTAAGTCATTTCCAGTCTGCACCAAGGCTCCGTTTCCAGCAGCCCCAGCTGGTATTTCTACATGGCACCCTGTGTGACTGCCACCTGTGGCTCCATTCCTCAGTAGCACACAGGTTGCTTTCCATCCAGCCTGGCTTTGGGGTATAGCTGTATTAGCAGGTAAACTGCTAAAGCATTTTAATACCAGTGGGTAAATAGCTGTTTCTAGTACCCCCAGCCCCTGTGCCATAGCCCAAGGCATCCCCCCTTGTCTCCAAGCCATCATTTAGAAATGAAAGGGCCAAAGGGGCACTGCATGCTGTGTTGCTGCTGGTAAGCTCCCACAGGTGGCCCCCAGAGCCCTCCCCCAGGCTGCCCGAGTCCCTGCTGTCTTCCCTCTGTGCCCCTGCTGTCTTCCCTCTGTGCCCCGCTTCTCTCCTTTTCTGTCTTCCTCTCACCATACAACTTCCTCAGACTGAAGGCTGGTAAAGGTTGGCCAGTGTTAGAACATGCAGTGGTGAGTTGGACACAGACTGTTCCTGAGAATGGTGACTGTGACCAGAAGGAAGGCAGCACAGTGGGTGCCATGTGAATCTGCGGTCAGCCTGACCTGGGGCCTCTGAGCCAGCACTGCCCAGCCAGGTTCCTCAAGTATAATGGAGTAACCCAACATATCCCAAAGTGTTAGCCAGGTACCTGACAGAGTCAGTATTCAATAAATGGTAGCAATTACTGCTTTTTATGAGGCCTTTTAGGATAGTGGCAGAGGGAAAACGCTTACTGGATGAATCCAAACAGGCTTTCAAGTTGTTTTCGATCAAGGACCCTCCATGATTGCCATGGGAACACACAGAACTCCATTAGACTGCAGGAAGTTCCAGCAATGAGAAGGCAAACCCCGTCTTAACCTGTCAGCTCCACAGAGTAAGGCAAGGATAAGGTGGTTTACTTTGGTGTGAGAAAATCCTAATAAATACACCTTGTGTGTAAAAAAAACCACAAAACAAGGCTTTTGAAAAAAGCATCATTTATTTCAAAGTACAACACAAAGTTGTATTTTTAAGAAATACACATTCAATCTTGTATCTCAAGACTTGGCTATGTGCATTTCAGTTCATCTTTAAAATAAGTTCAGGTATACAAATGTTACATACCTCAAGTACAAACAGCACAGAAAATGCATATGGTCTCAACTGAATGTTTTTACATTCATTCACCGTTCTTAAGTTGACTTACATTTCTGTAATCTGCTTTTAAACCAAGACAGCCTTACTTTAAAAAAATACTCTATTTTCAGCACAAAGTCCTCATACAGTTTTAAAATTAGATCTTGGCGCATAATATTGAGAAATTATTAAAAACCAAACTTGGTAATTTAACAAAATTGTCACATGCCAGGATTTCTGAATCAACTCAAATTATTTCCTTAGCTGTAATGTCAAATCTGTGTTCATACAGATAAATAAAGCATGGGGAAGACAGGTGGTGAAAACGCAGTAACGGGAAAGGTTCTCAGATGTACAGGTCTTATTAGAGTTTGTGGCTGAGTCCAGACTTTTCTCTAAAAGCACAACAGCAAATCTCATGTTATCATAATTGCAAGAAAGATCTGAAAGAAGCGAGTGGTCTGAGCCTGCCCTGCTTGGGTCTGTTTTGCAAAGAAGAGGAGGGTGGGGAGGGGAGCTGCAGTAAGAGCCTTAAAAAGATGTCTCAGAAACTGGCACATCATGATCTAGACGAGGGCCCACTATGTTTGTTTGTTTTTTGCTTAATTTAATTCTCGTGAGGAAAGTGCGAATTAGACCAAGGGTCCGAGCTTCTTCTTCCAATCGTGGGGCTCCATATCCGCCACGGGTTGTAGGTCTGTCCCAAGTCGTCAGCTGGACTGGAGGTGGAGGGAGCGTGAGGAGCAGGGGAGTTTTCTGTGCCCATGAGGCCGATGCTTGCCAGCGTGTTTGCTGGAGTGGTGAAGGGAAGGGCGCTGCTAAGGTTGCTGGACCAAATGGAGCTGCTGAATGGAGTGGTGGACCACAGGCCGCTGGTGTTACCGAGGACCGACTGCGACAAAACAGAAAGCGTCCAGCACTGAGCCCGGCAGGCAGAGGGTCAAGTGGGTAAGGGGGTAAGGCTACAGAAAAGATGAGGCTGGGGCACGCATTCCTCTTACTTTGTTTACTTTAGAACAAATGTTATATATATGTATTTGAGCAGATGTTTCTGATTTTTTTGAGACAGGGTCTTGCTCCATCACTCAGGCTGGAGTGCAGTGGTGTGATCATGCCTCACTGCAGCCTCAAACTCCTGGGCTCAAGTGATCTTCCCACCTCAGCCTCCCAAAGTGCTGGGATTACAGGCACTAGCCATCATGCCGGCTAGTTGTGATATTTTAAAAAAGACAGCTTGTGGACCAAATCCAGCTCTGCCTACTTTTGTAAAGAGAGTTGTATTGGAACACAGCTGCGCCCATCGGCCTGTGCACTGCAATGGCAGTGGTGAAGCATGGCCTTCAGAGCCTCAAATAGTTACTATCTGACTCTTTATAGAAAGTTTGCTGACTCCCACTTTGGGAGGCCGACGTGGGCGGATCACGAGGTCAGGAGATCGAGATCATCCTGGCTAACATGGTGAAACCCCGTCTCTACTAAAAATACAAAAAATTAGCCGGGTGTGGTGGTGGGCGCCTCTAGTCCCAGCTACTCAGGAGGCTGAGGCAGGAGAATGGCATGAACCCAGGAGGCGGAGCTTGCAGTGAGCCGAGATTGTGCCACTGCACTCCAGCCTGGGCTACAGAGCAAGACTCTGTCTCAAAAAAAAAAAAAAAAAGTTTGCTGACTTCTCTTTTAAAGAATGGTTAAGGTGGTTTTAAAACATAAGGCTGAATAATTACACATGAAGACAACCTTTGGAATCTGTAAAGTTGAAATATCTGTTATAAAACCTTGCATGTTTAGTTTCTCTGAGAACAAAGAGGCAAACACAGTGGGGTCATATTTTTCTGTCATAATTTTGTGGAAGCCAAAACCACTAATTATTTTCCTTGGCAAGAATACTCTTTTCAGCATGGTCTTTGCAGAAGACTTTAGCCAAGAAGCAAACAAATGCACTCTTGAAAATCTAACCTAAGAGACAGGTGCTTCTCAGCAACAAAGTAAATGCAGTATCTAGCTTGCTCCTGGGTGGCCAGTGGCTGCATTGCACAGATGCCGAAGGCTTCCCTCAACCATCTGAACCTGCCATAGGCCTATGGTCACCCTTGTGGTCCATTTACAGGTTGGGAAGAGGCAGAAAATGCCCTTGAGCTATTAGGAGGGACTCCAGAGACCAACCCCATAGCTGTTCAGTTGTTCTTCCTAAAACTTCCTGATTGTAATGGCTCTGAAGAACATCGATCAGTCATTTTGACAGAATATGAAGACAAAGCAATGGAGACAATAAAAGTACTAACCCACCCCTCTGATGCTGCTGTTTGTTGTTTATAACTATGTCAGTGCCATCCATGTCACAGCAATGGCAGATGGCGAGTGGGTGGGCCAGGTCCAGGCCCCAGCCCCAGCCCCAAGTACTCACTGTGGCTGTGTGGGTCGGGGAGCCGGAACTGGCTGGCCAGGAAGGACTGGGATCTGTCGCTGGCGACTCCCAAAGGTATGAAGGGCCACTATTAAACTCGTTCCAGCTCCTCTGTGAGGCCTGATTGCACGATCGAGATAATCCGAGTTTGCTGAAAACTTCTGGAAATAAAGCAACAGTCATCAAGTCCATATTTGGTTTTGCCATGATCACTATAGCATATGGGGCTTCACTCAATGGCATACCTCCAACCACTGCTCCTGGAGCCACCACACCCACTTCACCAGCCCACCACAGCCCAGAGGAAGTAGGGGCAGGAGTGTCCTCCAGAACTCAAACGCATAGTGCACGAGCTGATATGCCACCAATGACATCCAAATGCAAACTTTCCCCACTCTCACATGATAGCTAATGGGAAGCTTCCATGGTGACCTCTAGTTCTGGACAGCAAGAAGAGGACCCCTGGCACACTCAGGGGTCCCATTTCAGACCAGAACCCTTCTGTGAAGCCCTTCAATACCCGCCATGGAACTCACACCAACTGGTGTGCGCACACCGTGTCGAGCCTGGTCCACTGCCCCTCTGGGCTGCTGGTGTGGATGAGGGAGGAAGAGGGGAGGGGACCCTTCCCAGGGAGCTTCCTGCGGGGCCTCTTCCACAGTGCTGCTGTGCTGTGTTCTCCAGCACACAAAACCACACCTCCTCTCCCTTCCTCTGTCCACAGGCTTATTAGTTACACATCTAGTGTTAAACACTCACCACCAGTTAGATTAAAAGAGTTTCCAAAGGCGGAGAACGAATTGAGGGGAGTGAAGTCAGGGCTGCTTGGGTTGCTGACGGGACTCCACAAACCCGAGCTAAATGTTACAAGAGGAAAACGCAACACACAAAAATGTATGGTGGTTAGTGCAAACGGATCCATAGTGCACAGCTTCACAAACAGGAGACACTGCTTCAACTGGGGGTACTCAAATATTAAAAACAGACAAAAGGAAGAGCTGAACAATGGCTGCTTACCACAAGGGTTGAGTCGGAGGGAGCCCCAGAGCTCCGGATGCCCTATCACTAGCTCACAGCCAGGTTCAAAGCAAGTGTTTTGCAGAGAAACAGACATTTTTTCCTTCTGTTTGCTTTTTGGTACTGGAAGATTTATTTAAAAACTATTTCAAATCTAGAACTCATTTCCTATTAGTGCAAAGTAGGTAAATTGGGGCTCTATTGTTGCTTATCTGGAAAAGTCAACCAAGGTGACTGCTGCAGGCCACCACACCCCCTGCATGATAAACAAGCCTGCTCAAGAAAGAGGCGTGGCCAGTGATTTACTATAAATTGGCTAGTATTTGCTCCAGATTTCCCCCCTCCCAAGTCACTTTCGCTCTTCTATTTTTAATGATCAGATCACATCTTACCACAGACCAGGAGATGGAGGAGAGTGAGAACAGGTGTAACGTGTGTCTGCCTGGCTGAGACAGGCATGGGTGCCCCCTTTCTCTATCTGGACCCCCTGGGGAAGGCACCGCAGCCGGCTTTCTGCTTCCACCCAGCAGACATGATTTCTTAGAGGCACTTGACCACTTCTGACAAATGCCTCCTTGTAAATTAGGGGAAAAATGCCCTGAAACCCATTTATGGATAAAAAGGTGCTAACCCGACTTGAGAAGCCTTCCGTCTTTCTAGCGGTTAGTGGTGGTCTACCGTACCTGTCTGAGCCATCGCTGTCAACAGGAGCGTGTGAAATGCCAAGGCTGCTGGAGAAACCTGTTTTGTTTGAAGAAACTTTAGCAAAGCCATTCCCACCTGTAACAATGGACGTTCAATCAATGGAAGGCACATTAGGACAGAGGTCATTCCACCAGGCCTGGCGCCTGGCGTGGCAGGTCTCTGAAGCAAAGGCACTGACCTGGGCTCTTGTCGTAGCCAGCCGTGACTGCAGCAAAAGTGGGGTTGCCGTTCTTGCCCGGGAGCGAGGCTGCCTTTGTCAACTTGTGTTTGCTTCCATTTGGCTGTTTTATTTTAGGGTCACTTGAAAAAGAAGCAAAGAGAGAACTCATTCCTCATCAGCAGTGCCCTGTCTCGGGGAGGTGTGGGGCTGGCAGGACTGAGCCCTGAGTGGGCTTCTCTGCAGCGGGGCAGCTCACAGAGCATCGCTCAGCCTCATGTCACATGCTCTGGGGCCTCAGACTGCTTAATCAGACAGAGATAGAGGGCTTTCTGGAGAAAGGTAAGAAAACAAAAGATCACTATGAAAGAGACCAGGGCAGGGATCACAATTTAGGGACTGGCAGAGGCTTCGATCACACTTTTGTGAAGAATGCTAGAGAGCCACTCGGCAGGAAATGCAGAGGGCAGCCACCGACACCGGAAAGGGCGGGGCCTCAGGGAGTCTCCTTCCCTGCCAGGACACGGCGAGGTGCTCCTGTGGCAAGGCCCAGAAGCGGGGTGGCTCCCCCAGCCTCAGTGGTTACTGCCTCTTGGGCAACGGCGGGGAGGACCTGACCCTAGGCTGGCCGGTGACGCGATGCACAGAAACCCACGCCACGGCGAGGCACACGGTGAGAGTGCCATCCGTGACTGTCAGGCTTGCGGTACACTGTGGCAGGCGGACACGAGTGAGGCTCCGTGCCTCGGAGAACAGCATGCTTCCTGCATCCTGTCTGTGTGGTCAGGAGGCTGCCCTCCCGGGTGCACACATCCCCTACTGCAGCACCTCACCCAGCACAACGGTCTTGGACCAGGTCCTGCCCTTCTAAGTCCTAAGCCAAATTGTCCAAAGGCCAAAATTAGTGTCACATAAACCCATACTCCCAACTCACAGGAATCCCCTTTAGGTCTTCATGTAAGGCTTAGTAAATGTTCATTGGCTCACTGAGAATATCACTCTAGTGAGTTAAATGGTGCATTTCTCGGTCCACAGGTGGTAAGAATGAATGGATTAGAATGGGAACCGGGTTACTGTTGGAGCTGGGCACAGCAGCAGGAAGCGGGGGTGGACCCCAGGTAAAAGGGTCCACACAAGCTGGCAGCCATCAGAAGTAACACCAGACAGTGGCCTGTGGCCGCTAAGTGTTTCCATTTAAAGGGTGTGACATCGGGTTTTAGGCACATTTCAAGCTGAGAACCGGAAAGGAAGCAGCAGGCCTACCTGCTGGAGCTGCTGTTGACGATGCTGCTGTAGCTGCCCCGGGCCACAAAGGGGCAGGGGGCAGCTGGGGGAGACGGGGAAGCAGGTGTCGGTGAGGTCTGGCGTTGTTTTAAGAAAATGTCTGCGTTGAGGGTTTGCAGAGAAAGTTTATAAAGACTATCAGTAGCTGGAAATTAAAAACAAACGGGCTCGTTAGTGTGGTGTTTTGATTAGCGCTCTTCCAAATCACTTTGAATGTTCTCTAAGACTATGCATAACTCAAGCCCTTCTACAAAGAAAACAAACGAAAGCTCTTAGATGTGTTCTGTTTAACAGGTTTTAAAGAGAAAGCAGCCACATCTCTCTGCACTCGGGGATTTGAGGGGAGCAAGAGCGTGCCCGGTCCCTGCTGTGTTGTGTGGCGGACAGTCAATGTCTTCACTTCTCCCACCTCAGGTAGGGGAGGAGGGTCTTCCACATCCTCCAGGGGTGGACAGCTGAGGCCGCTGCCTGGGGACCTGGAAAATCCTTGTGCCTACACGCAGGTTTACAGCTGTGGGAGGTGCAGTGTTCCGGGCTGAATCCCCAAGTTCAGTAAAGCCTCTCCATTGGCGTGACTGGGATGTGCAGCTCTGATCCCTATTAAGCTCCTAGTATATTCCTGTGCCCTTTAAAGTAATGTCTATACAGCTGTTTTAAAAATCTAAAACAGGCTGGGCACAGTGGCTCGGACCTGTAACCTCAGCACTTTGGGAGGCTGAGGTGGGAGGCTTGAGCCAGGAGTTTGAGGCTGCAGTGAGCTATAATCACACCATTGCACTCCAGCCTGACCCCATCTCTGAAATTAAAACAAAAAATTTCAGTCATAAAATAACATTCTCTACTCAGTAAACGGAAATATGTATACCTTTTATCAGAAAAATGTATCATTTTGCACATCTATTGTGTGCAACTTGGTGCTGCTGTAGCTACTGCAAGAGGAAGAAGGTGGGGGAGAGCTTGGACCTGTGAATTCCCATCACCACAGGGCACGATCCCCAGCCCAGGCCTGGCCAGCTCGCTACCTGGCTGGCCCCTCCTGCCTTGTGAGATTTCCGCGTACCCTGAGTACCCCCGGCTCCACTTCTCCCGTCCCCTCACTGCCACATTGCAGCCGCTCTGCCTGCTGCCTCTTGCTTCCCTGGTCACACCCTGTAGCACAAGCTGCTTCTCCCCTACCCCCAGGGCTCAGGGCTCAAGGTTTCCCATGTCTTGGCTAGGTCAAGCCTCCAGCATGGCCCTGCCGAGCAAAGCAGCCTTCCCTTGGAAGCCCGTGCTCTCCACTCCGCCATCCTCAGGGCTGCCTGCTACCTTCTCTCTCACCTTCCCCAGTGCTGCTGGTACTGGTGCCAGACTCACGGTCCTGTCTCCCACCCGCCCACTCTCACCCCTTGATGACATGGGCCCCTCCTCGCTGGTTCTGTGGATCTGCTGACCTGATGCCCACACTCAGGACGTGTCTCACACCGCTCTCCCATACGAGCCCTGCTCGAATCTTTGTCCCCATCAAGCTCCTCTGAGGCCTCCCATCTGACACCACGTCTACACTGTCGGCTTGCTATTTGTACAACTGTCCTGACCCTTCCCTAGCCACTTCCTCTGGCCTCGCTCCGCCCCTGCAGTGACTCGTCCCCTCAGGCAGTGCCCACACTTGGAGCAGGCTGTGCTCCGTTTTGTGTGCGCTCGATCCTCCCGAGGTGCCTGTCCTGGGGAAAGGTGCGGGCAGCTCCTGTGGGTGGAATGTGTTTCACAGGGCCCAGAACTACAGATGCTCCCAAGACAGTGATGATGAAATGAAACAGGAAAAGCAAAGGGAAGTTAGCAAAAGCCCCTACTGAACAGTGCTTGAGGTAGGAGTGAAGGGGAGACTCTGAACAGTACACGAGCTGCAATTAGAGAACGTTTTGATTCAAATATTATTAAAATTTTCCTTTGTGGCTTCTGATTTGCTTTTCCTTTTAATAACCCTTTGTATTTTTTGCCTTTTTAAATCATGAAATTATTCAAGGAGCATTTTCTCTGCAACTCATGTGGTACAGATGGTATAGGGCACCATGCTAAGGGGTGCTACTTGGGATGGAGAGATCTTTACACAGAGGCTGCACAACTCCCCCAGCGGCTACTGCCACATGCTGGCTGCACAGTCTTGGGTGGGACCAACGCTTTCACCCCAAGGAACTGCACTAAGCTTGGCACTGCCAACAGCGCTCGCAGAACTTCAGGTCTAAGCAAGACGAAACACCAAGGGAGGCGAAGGGATAAAAGGGGATGAGAAAGCTGGGGCAGAGCAGGAAGGTAAAAGTGATGGAGAGCATGTGGGACCGACTCTTCTGGGTTTCCTCCACCCATATTCTCTATCGAGTGGAGCTCTGCTGGAACATTTTAGTAACGCTGGCAGTGAGGGCAGAGAGGTCACAGGGCTTGGAACCAGTGTAAGGGACTGCTTGGCTAGAAAAACACAAAAGGACTGCACAGACGTGGGCTGAGGAGACAAGCTCTGCATCTCTTCCCCCAGTGCCCACCGTGGAGCTCTGCCCTGAGGCGCCATGCTCAGATGCACCAGCTGGCCTCTGTGGAAGAGCCAGGCAGGAAACTGAGGCATGCGGCACTGGGCCCTTCACAGTTCCTCCTCCAGAGGGCTGGCCTGCCATTTCCCACATTCCTGCCCCGAGGAGTGGCACCAAAATCTCCTGTCTGGGGTTGGGTCCTGTCATCCTTTCCCCTCCACACAGAAGGAGTGATGTCAACATGTGGCTCAGGTGCCACCAGGTGGGGATGCTGCCAGCCAGTTTGTGGCTGTGTCTGGCTGTCACCTGCTCTCCCGGCAGCATGGTTCTGCATGCTTGTGTCATTACGTCACCAACACGGCTCATGTCACCTCACTGGGCCTCAGAACACCCCTGTGAAACTGGCTCCAGGGGCTGTGTTCTGTTGCTGAAAGTGGCATCTGTTTAATGGGGAACTGCCTAAATCGTGGAGTGTTAAGCCAAGAGCCAATGGCCAGCAGAAACCTCAGGGGGCGCTAGGAAGCAGAAGCATCCCACCTGGACACACGGACCACCCACGGTCTTCTTCAAGATTTGCTGAGTGAAGGATTTAGGATTGTATCCCACCCCTGGCAAAAAGTAGTACTAAAAGGTGCCAGAAAGTCTCATGGCAAATAGGGCTACAGGATGTATCTCAGAGAGCATCTCTTTCCAGGATGTATCTACACATTCCGGCGAGAGCGTGGACGCCCTACCCGAGCCTCCAAGGCTCTCTGCCCTCATTCAGCCCAGTGAGCCTGCCCTTCGTCCAACTCCTTTCACCTTCAATGACCCGACTGTTGCTCAAACCTGACTGCATCTCTGGTCTTCCTGACTTGCCCTCTGGTACACTCCAACACAGTGGTGAGTGCGGACCAATCAGTCCTAAAGCCAGGACCTCTCTTGATCTCAAATCCCTGCTGTCAGCTGCTCCCTTTTCTGGTCTCTGTTGCCCCCTATTTCAGGTCAAGTGTCTGTAGGGTGAGGATTTCTATTTTGGTTGACTGTGCCTACTGTCTTGATTTACTGCAGGCCAAACTGGAGAAACAAGGTCAAGGTAGTGAGAAAAATAATGAAACCTTTGTGTAGGTTGCTCATGTAAAAAGATGTGGGTAAAGTTGAGAGGATGGAATTCTTACAAAAACAATTACACTATAAATGAGGAACTCATCAGGTAAAGGATAGCTAAGTCAATACTTGTATAAGGCAAACAATTCTTTAGAAGATTAACCACTCCAAACAGACCATTCCATTTTGCACATTGGGCAGTGGTGTGCTAGTATACCAGCTCCCTGAAAAAAAAAAAGCCCTGATGTGAATTGTTGAATGAGTCCCCTGATGTAAATAATCTTACCAGGACTGATTTCAACCTACGGCAGTTTAGCCACTGATTAGGCTAGTTAACAATGGGCTCTTAGCTGGCAAAGCACTGTCAATGGGTATTTTAAAGCAACATGCCCCTGAAGAGTTCCATGCCCAGAGTGGGGTGGATTGTGGGTAAGTGGAGCCCTGTGGTTTCTAAACTACTATACTTACAGCTGCCAGGTTTGTGAACTGGAACGGAATCCCACTCCGGTGGAGGAGAGTCTTTTTCACCCTCTGAGCTACTGGTGTTGCCTAATTCTTGACTATTCGGGAGGAATTTTGCTAGGGCAGGTGGTCTGTTATCCACTAACTTACTTGTACCTGCACAAAAATCAGAAAAGAACATGGTTAATGGAGAATCATTCCTTTCTTTCAGGTCTATTTCAATGAACCTTCTAATGAGGACAAGAACACAGCCTTAGCCTTGCATGACTAATAACTACTGACTGCTTACTGATAATGCACAACAATTGTTAATACGGTGCACTATGAAAAGATCCGTAAGACATGATCATAGAGAACAAGATGACAATACCTTTTGTTTTCTGGGCATTTCGTGATTTGGATCCACTTGTCATTGCAGTTGGAAGAGGAATCTTGCTTGGGAGATTTCTACGTTGCTTACTTTCCAAAGGGGGAGTATATGGTAGTTCTAATGAACTGAAAGACAATCAGGGATGGAAAATACAAATTTATTCCTCTGTTTTGGAGGACAGAAGTCATTAAGATTGTAATTCTTCTACAATACAACTGCATGCAGGAAGCTAATGTGGCTTCCTGGGGCGTTATCTACCCTTGGT
The DNA here is from genome assembly GCF_000001405.40 of Homo sapiens. NCBI lineage: Eukaryota > Metazoa > Chordata > Mammalia > Primates > Hominidae > Homo > Homo sapiens. The sequence continues at coordinate 692,774 of NW_025791765.1, forward strand.
CCTAACTCAGGACTGGCTGCATGCCCAACGCTGTAGCTAAGACTGCCCAGCAGACATTCAGCACTTGCAGACTGAACCTTTGCTATTCCAAGTGCTGACAATGAACTGAGGTCCATTATTTAATAATACGTAACGTGAGGGAGGATCTATCTCAGATAAGGCATAGAAAGAAAGCCCTTAGCTCCAACTTGCTGCTCAGGGCTGGAAGTGCGGTCATTCTGCCTGTGAGTCTCTCCCAGCATCTAGACCACCACCAGTGGGATTCCTGAACATGAAGATTTTGAAAGATCTCACATCTATAACATTAGAGACTCCACTATTCAAAACTGAACAAATTTTTCTCATAGAAATTATGAGGTGACCCAGAGCTAAGTTCCTGGTTACTACAGGGAGTGGGCTAGGATGAATTTTCTTCCTTATTCTTGAACTCAGGGTTAATCTTAAGCAAAAAAATTAAATATATTTTTTATTGATTTATTTAGAGTGACGCTTTCTGAAAGATATTGAGGTAAGCTTAAGATAATAAGCATGTATAAATATATCTTAAGTTTCCAAAGCTCAATAAGTGAGGTAGGAAAACCTGCTGGGAGACAGCAGCTGGAAAGAATGAATCTCTGAGAGAAATGAACTGGGTAGCTGGCCCATGGAAGACAGCATTGTGAGTAGAATACCTATATGGGCTACAAAGGCATTCTTTATGAAGCCACATCTCTAATGCCCACCAAGACCATGTCTGGGACTGGGAGGACCTCCGGAAGGAGCTCAGCTAATGTGGTCCAAGAAGGACCTTTTCCAGCAAAGGCTGAGATGCAGCTCAGAGAGCCCAGTGGCCCCTTTGGAGAAATCTTCCAAGAATCCTCAGGGATCTCTACAGAGCTCCTGGTGACAGCTGTCAGTTCAGGGCTGAGCTGATGGCTAGCTTTTCATTCCAAATCTACAAAGTCTACACAGATGGTGTAAAATGGATGCATCGCCGGCATTTTCCACATTTCAGTGTGCTTTCTGCTCCCAACCCTCAAGTGTGTGATACTACTCAGGACTCCCGGCCCCATCCTCCAAGTTCTTCACGCACCATGTTGCCTTCTGTCCTCCCAGCCCACAGGATACAGTACATTTCAGCTAGGTTCTGGGTCAGAGGCAATCTGCTGTGCTCATTCACAGGAGATTTCAAAGGTGAGAAGAGTTCCAACTTTCCCGATCTAACGGCACCATAACACCCTCATTCCCCAACATCCTCAATGTAAAGTGTGAGCTCATAAATAAACAAATACATTTAAGAAGGCTATTTACAAACATTTTATAAGGTGGTAGGGTCAAAGGACATTTTCTTTTGTTTCGTTGTATTTCACAAGTAGGTATTATATAATAATAAGTAGGTATTATATCTGGAATTAGTAAGAGAGCAAACCAAAAAGCCAAAGGGTTTCCGTTAGCCCAAATAACTAGAATTTTAGGTAGGATAACAAACTGAAGTGAAAAATCCACTGTTTATGGGCCAGATGATGAATGCTACATTATAAAATCTTTTGTATCTCTTCTACTTCTGACTGACAGGGTTATTTAAAAAACCCATCTTCTAAAAAAACCCCAAAGGCTCCCATAGTAGACACCAGCCCTCTGGTGGTGGAGGTGGTGTGGGTGTGATCTATTTTTAAGTGTGCGTGGGTAGCTATTTATACAAAACTAAATTCTGTGCCACTGTAAAAGTAATTGGTTTTTAAGAAGAAAGGTGCCAGACAACTCCTGTTATTTTTGCTGATTCATACTTTCCTAAATTAAGCCAGATGATCTCTATCAAGAATCCTTTTTTAAGGCTTCTGAATAAAATGGGTAACGGCCAACTTAATTGAAGCGATTCATTTTTTTGAGACAGAGTCTCACTCTGTCACCCAGGCTGGAGTGCAGTGGCACGATCTTGGCTCACTGTAACCTCTGCCTCCCAGGCTCAAGCAATTCTCCTGCCTCAGCCTCCTGAGTAGCTGGGATTACAGGTGTGTGCCACCATGCTTGGTTAATTTTTGTATTTTTAACAGAGATGGGGTTTCACGATGTTGGTGAGGCTGGTCTCGAAGTCCTGACCTCCGGTGATCTGCCGTCCTTGGCCTCCCAAAGTGCTGGGATTACAGTGGGATTACAGGTGTGAGCCACCGTGCCCAGACTGAAGTGATTCTTTTTAAAAAGGAAAAACAGGTGGTTCAGATGCCAGGCTTTATTTATTTATTTACTGACAGGGTCTCAGTCTGTTGCTCAGGCTAGAGTGCAGTGGTGCAATCACGGCTCTCTGCAGTCTCTAACTCCTGGGCTCAACTCCTGAGTCTCTAACTCCTGGGCTCTATGCAGTCTCTAACTCCTGCCTCAGCCTCCCTAGTAGTTGGGACTACAGGTGTGTGCCATCACACCTGGCTAATTTAAAAGAAAAACTTTTTGTAAGATAAGGTCTTGCTATATTTTCCAGGCTGATCTTGAACTCCTGGGCTCAAGCAATCCTCCTGCCTTGACCTCCCAAAGTGCTGGGATTATAGATGTGAGCTACCACACCTGGCTTATTTTTATAATATATTTTCCTCCATTTTTTAATAATAATGTTTTTCTTTTTCTTAATATTCTGAGATTTCGTATTCTTTTTATTTTTGCTTTTCACAACGTTACACCTGACTCAAGCCTGGCCTATTTTTATTCCTGTAATACACAGTACACATTTCTGTCTGGGGAGGAGAGAGGCAGAGCTGAGGACACAGCTAGGGACATGACCAGCTGTGGAGCAGGGTTTTCTGAGTGCTGACAGGTCTGGGGCTGGCGTGTGCAGTGTGGTGTTCACAGCCCTTGGGCCTGAGTTGAGAGTGTTATTTAAGCAGATTTTTACAGATAATATGATTAATCTACTTCTTTTGCTTATTTTAGATTATTACATTTATGTAAACATATACTGTTGATAAACAAATAGAAAAACAAAAGGATCAGTGAATACTCAGGGTCCTAAACCAGGGATGCCCTGGGCCCTTCCTGGTTCTGCAGAAACCTTCAGTGCCTGAGATCTGATTCCCATTCCTTGGCATCTCTGCCATAGACTACAGTTTTCCGGAGGTCTGCAGGCCCATTTCTATGTTGCCACAGCTGGAAAACACGGTTAGATCAGATTTCTGTTGCTGCAGCCCCACCCTCCTATTTCCTAGCAAGTGATTTTTTTGAGGTCAACTCTTGGGAGTGTGGATGGATGGGGCTGAGCCACTCCTCTGGCTTTATCACCTCTCACAAAGCTTCCGAAAGACAGCAATGATATATGCCTTATTAATGACATATCTTATTAAAAGATGTGTACCTGTCCTTCAGACATGTGGGGTTATATATTAACACACTAAAAGGTGACAGGAATTTCAGGAATCACTAAAGCTAGTACTGGCTGTGATTCTGAGTGACAGTGTTTGACATTTATTATCAGAATGCAGTGGAGTCACAGAATGGCTCTGTTCAGAAAGCCAACCTTCTCCGGTTATTAAAAAAACCAGTCTTTATTTGATTAAATGATTGATGAACTAATAAATTCTGACTCAATACTTTCATCCTCGAGTTCAGAAAAACAAGAGATCAGTGAGTTTAAAGAGATCAGATAAAGGAGGATAGAAGAAAGGTTGCATATAGATTTCTCCAGTTACAAAAGACAGTTTCAAGCACACGGCTTGATTTGTGTTCTGGTAATGATTTATCTTTTAACTACATATTGAGAGAGCACCGGTTATTGCTATAACTGCCCCTTGACTAGGCGGTTCAGGACTGACCACTCTAAGCTTTTTGGTTTACAAGAGAACTAAAAACCCTTGCAAAGGTAATGACACTCAAGCGACGTCTTTGACTAACTTTTCAAATGCAAATTTGCTGATGGTCAACTTGTAAAAAAAATCAGAATACAATGTAAGTCAGTGGAACAGGGATGGGGGTTAGGATTAGTGTGTTCTATCTGCTTAACAATACTAAGCTCAGGCCTGAGGGCTAATCAACAGGGCCAATTTGGTGACAGTCACCTATGGAATGGTACCTCTAAGATAATTCTTAGATGCACTGGTTTTAAAATTTATCATCATAGGAATTACTGCATGTCTGTCTACCTCACAAGATTTCTGCAAATGTAAAAATGAGGATTTTCATTATTTGGACTTATTAGCCTCATTTACTTTAAAATATCTGATCACTCACCTAAGCCTGAAAAAGGCCAAGAAGAAGAATCTCTAGCTAGTAGCCCAGTGTTATTCCTGTCCTGGGTGCCAGGATATTGGTGTCTCAGGTGGATTTCTCTCAGGAGAGATCCAAGTATGTGAACCTCCTCTTCAGAAGAGGTGGTCTCCTTTTCTCTCTCCCCTTCAAATGATCAACCACCTGATACCACTCTGCTTGACGTTCCTTCTACCTGGGCCAGACTGCTCTCAACAAATTGTGGGACCTGGTCACTTGAACTAACAATTGCCACAAAAGAGTAAATTTTAGGTACAAATACTTCATTACTAAGCACCACCATATACTGTATTATTTCATAAATTCAGGGACAAGGTTAAATTTTACTGCAGTTATCACTAATTTCTTACTAGCTTTTGGGTTCTATAGAACAGGACTGGCCCTGCCTGAAGCCATATAATCTAGGGACAGAGTCTAGGTTAGTGGTGTTTTTGCAAAACTCAAGTATGATTCCCAGGATCAGAGTAAGAATAGACCTTCCACAAATCTATGGCCCACACTTATGATGACAGACAAGCCATGTCTTCCTTTTAAATTTACACCTAATTTATTCGACTTCCTCTGTCACTTTCTACTGATCACAACCCACAAGCGGGTAGACAGCAGCTCCCGTGCTGATGACAGTTCTATACAATGAACCAGGAAAGGTATTACTGATGCACCAACACTAAAATTATCAGGTAGATGCTGAGCCAAGGTTTAATGAAAATGTGAAGTAACTTCAGTTAATAACCCAACAGTTCAACTCACTCATCTCCCTGGGGAAACAGCCTGCACAAGCCCTCCCCGGGGGCCACTGAATCCCATTCCATGGGGAGGAACTGGAGTTATTTAATGGTAGAACCGTCTGACTGGTGACACCTGCTCTGAACCATTTTTAAGGTAAGAATAAACTTTTCCAAGTTTTATGGCATGGAACTCTAGATCCCAACTGGGTTAACAATTCGACAGACTCAGAGATCTTTTGGAGGAAAGTTATGCTTGTACCTGTGGTTCAATCGTCAAGGTCATCTTTGTGCAGAAGTAAAATGGATCTCAGCCTGGGACTGAATCACCAACAGAAATTTTCCTCCTAAATTTTTATAACAGATCGTGAGCTCTGCCCTCTGCATATCTGACTTGAGAAGCATATGGCTATTCCGAGTCAACAACAGTACATATCAGGTGACAGAAAAATCCCAAGAGGAATGTGACGTAGCACCTGGATTTTGCTATCAACTCCCCTAAAAGCCAACCAGCCAGCCAAATGGCCAAATCAAAACAGCACCTGGTTTTCGCCAGCAACTTCTTTATAGACCTTATTTCTCTGTACACTTATTTCTCTCACCTGGGTTTCACATCTGTTGGGATTTCTTTCTTAATATTTAAGAGTTTTTTGCTTTTTTGCTTCACTTGAGACATTTCACTTTCATGTTTTTCAGGCATGGCTTGTTTTCCCTTTTGCTTTTCTGTATCCTGTAAAAAATGGACACTTAATTGCTGAGAAGGATTAATAAAATGACTGAAATTAGTTCCATTTTAAGATACAGACACAAAATCAAAGATGTAAAAATATACACATCATATACGTAAAAACAAACTCGTTTCTTCAAATCTGTCTTCACTGCGGTTCTGTCAATTTTTTGGCCTTCTTTAATTTGTCTCAGCTGTGTGCGGTGGCGCATGCCTGTAATCCCAGCACTCTGGGAAGCCGAGGCAGGTGGATTGCCTGAGCTCAGAAGTTCAAGACTAGTCTGGGCAACATGGTAAAACCCTGTCTCTACTAAAAATACAAAAAACTAGCTGGGCGTGGTGGCGCATGCCTGTAATCCCAGCTACTTGGGAGGCTGAGGCATGAGAATCGCTTGAACTGGGGAGGCAGGGGTTGCAGTGAGCTGAGATCATGCCACTAAACTCAGCCTGGGCGACAGAGCGAGACGCCATCTCAAAAAATAAAGTAAAATTTGTCTCGACTACGTTTTGGTGAGTTGGAGTTATAAAGAACGTCATTTTAATTTATACTCATATCCTGACTGGAGATGGTGGTGGCAGTGGCAGTAGCAAATTGGTAGCTTCTTTTCAAGCACTGGGGAGTAAAACACTGTATTTCCTTAAAAGAAAAGTTCAGTAGAGACTGCAGTATAAAGTCAAGCACTCCAGCCATGCACCCCATCCTGAGCACAACTCTCAGGACAAGAGAGCAGTGCGGCAGCCAAAGGGGCCATGCTCGCCTGCCTGCGATTGCGGCAGGGTTCCGGCTGGTTTAATGCTAAGCTAACAGCTGCTCCATCAATGGGAGGGGCTGTTTGTCCAGTTCATCCACACACATTTACGGGTCACCCGCTTGGTGCCAGGCCATAGGATTACCAAGAGGGCCCAGTTTCTCCTCCTAAGGATGGTGAAGTCTAGCAGGAGGGAGACACACGACAGACGCCAGCATGGACCTCTGCTGGGGGAATGTTACTGGCCACTGCAGCAGCACAGAAGGGCTGTCCTGCCCGCTAAAATGTGGAATCTGGAGTGGGCGGCCACATCCAAGACGCATCTTAAAGCTGTGCTACCCAGCTGGCCCAGCCAGGACCAGGAAAGTACAGAACCTGCCCCACGGATTTCTGTGGCAATCTGACTTCATTGCAGCATCTGAGTGTGAGATCAGTGGACCTGTCTCCCCAACAGGGTACACATCTACTCATGTATTATGTGTGGTTTTTTTTTTTTTGAGACAAGGTACTCACTCTGTCACCCCTGGGCTCAAGTGATCCTCTCACCTCAGCCTCCTGAGTAGCTAGGACTACAGGCACATGCCACCACACCCAGCTAATTCTTGTATTTTTTTGTAGAAATGGGGTTTCACCATGTTGCCCAGGCTGCACTCAGGTATTGCTGAACTCGCCTGGGGAGCTGCATGTGGAGTGGGCTGTGTACTAAAAGCAACCTGGTTCTTTGCCCCAGACAATCTGTGAAATACTGTGTTTACGGAAGCACTGGCAGGGACAGATGGGGAAGGACGTACTCAGCAAAGGGGACAGTGATGGCTGTGGAGGGGAGCTATAGGCATGTGGTGAATTAGCATCTACCCAAGAGCTTTAAAATTTATGATTATGAAGACAGCCTGGATTTTAATAGGTCACACCAGGTGAATCTATTTAACTGTCAAGAGTAAATAACCAGAGCTAGGGCTAAAACATCTCCCTGGCTCACATATCGTTTGAAACTACTTTGAGTTATTCATGAAGTCTTTCTTGAATACTTGACCCATCAGGTATCTTGTAAACCATGAGCTTTTCGAGGACAAGGATGTGGCCTTTTGTCCACTGTTGTTGCCTACGCACCTAGCACGTGGCCTGGCACGTGGGTGCTCAATTCCTATGTGTTGACTGAATGGGTAGAACAGAATTGGAGAAGACATGCAAGAGAAAATGACCTATCAAAGTTGTGATTTAGCTGGGAAGAAAATACACATTAACTGACAAACTGAGATCAGTTGCAGAGAAATAAAAGCACACGGCCTCTATGCAGATTGCTGAGCAGGAGGAATAACTCGTTGGAGGGGACAGGGTAGTAACCAGACAAGGAGGCCTCATGAAGGATGTGAGTTCTGAGCTGCACAAATAGCACGGAAGAAGCTGGGAACACAGGAGGGAATGAACAGGGAGCTAAGAATGACATCAGTGGGTGAGCACAGAACACTGGCCACTGGGGGCCGCTGGAGAGGGGGCCACAGTGGTGTGAGCAGGAAGAGGCTGGCAGGTGGGAAGGGAAGTGGGAGAAAGTCGTGCAGAAAATGCCTTCCGAACGCTGATGCACAGGGTTTAAACTGCTGGGATTTTACTCAAAGTTTAGCACAGGGCTTTCTGTTTCTCTGAAGTAATTTGTTAAAGTGCTATAAACTACAGAGCTCCAGAACTATTTAGGAGTTGGGCTAGGGGTAGATGGAGGACCACGGTAACGGTGAGGGAATGCAAAGGGAAAGGTGGCTAACTTGAAAGTAAGTTACATATACATTTCATTTTAAACATTTTAATGCATGTGAATGACACTGCTGGAAATCTGTAAGAAGTGATTCCTTGGTCAATAGACTAAAACTAAAAAAGAAAGTCTGTTCTACAACATTAAAGGCTATATTAGGATCAGTTTAGATTTGAAATCCATTTATCTAAAAATAAAAGCGCCAGAGTGGAATTATTACCCTTTCTTGCACACCCCATACTACTCACAGCAGTAATCTGACCCCGTCACTAAGGCCCACTGGACCCGACACTTTGCACTGCTCTTCCTGCTGTGATAACAGCCCTGGGAGCCGAGGCCTCCAACGGGCGAGGCAGCTTCTTGGCGTGCTGATGTGTCCTGGGCTGGGCTCCTCGTCCCTGGGGGCCACTAAAGCCTGGGGTCTTTCCTGGGGCCACACTCCCTCCAGGGCGGTCACCACTCTACTGCTTGGGAGTAAGCGGCCACCAAAACCCCGCTTCCAGCAGGTGCTAGGAGCAACATGACAGGAAAAACACAACCTAATTAAAATGGTAGAGTTCCTTCTCATTCTTTTGATCCTTAAAATCTGAAAGAAGTTTCATGAGGTAGAATAGTTACTATTCCAGATAGTCCCTAGCTTTCAAGCAGTGTTTCCAGTTTCTAACCATCTTACTTTAGTAACATGCTTCCAGCTGTTCTTCCCTGGAGGACATGGAGCCATTCATCCCCACAGCTGTGACTGTTGTCTGCAGGGGAATGACTCTGGAGGCACGCCCAGCACAGGAACCATTCCTCAGTAGGTGCTCATCCTAGATTTAAACATTACTTTTGTACTAAAACCAGAATCTATGAGATGGAAGGTCTTGTGAGCTGCAGGAGACCTCTCTTTCTCCCTCGTGTTTTGTTGTGTGAGATCAGCCCGTACCTCCTTGAGGAGCGGTTCTGTGTCAGGGTTGGAGGTCTCTGTGGTGGTGGAGGAGCTATCATCATCAGCCAAAGAGTCCTTCAGCTCATCTTCCTGTGGCTTTCCCTTTCCCTTCTTCTCCTTTTCCTCTTGCTTCTTAGGTGGTTTCACCTTGCGCTGAAGAGGTTTTCCTTTCCCTGAGGATAAAAATTAAAGTAAAAGAACTCTTGTTTTTGTTTCTTTTTTTTTTGAGATGGAGTCTTGCTCTGTCACCCAGGCTGGAGTGCAGTGGCGAGATCTTGGCTCACTGCAAGCTCCGCCTCCCGGGTTCACACCATTCTCCTGCCTCAGCCTCCTGAGTAGCTGGGACTACAGGCGCCCGCCACCATGCCCAGCTAATTTTTTGTATTTTTTAGTAGAGACGGGGTTTCGTCGTGTTAGCCAGGATGGTCTCAATCTCCTGACCTCGTGATCTGCCTGCCTCGGGCCTCCCAAAGTGCTGGGATTACAGGCGTGAGCCACCATGCCTGGCCAGAACTCCTGATTTTTAAATAGCTAGCTTGGAAAACAAAGCAATTACAACTTTTGTTGGAAGAGGCTGGACTCTTCTGATTAAAAAAGGTTTCTTTTTTTCTTCTCTAATTAAAGCTTTCCAAATCCATTTGACTTTGTGATGAGAACAATTTTAAAAATCAACTTTACTGAGATACAACTTATATATAATAGAACACACCCATTTTAAGGGTACAGTTCAGTGAGTTTGGACAAACTCGGCAGTTTTGACAAATCTGTATGTCTGTCTCAGAATGTTCTTATATTCTCCAAAGGGTGATAGAGCTTTGAAAAGTTACAGAAGTGAAAACCAGAGATCCTCTGACATCTGCTGGGAGATGGAAGCCTGATGGTGACATAAACAACGAGCCACTCAAGTGCTTCCCTTTAGGGGCGCTAAGAGTCCCAGCAGTGTAGCCATAATGGCTGGGTGCAAACCCTGGCAGCTTTCTACAAACTAGCTGCCTGATCATGGCCTCTCATCTGTAAGATGGAGACACAAGACCACACAGGGCTGTACTGAGGAATTACATAATCCCTGGGAATGGTAACTGGTGCATGAGTACTATGTAATGTTGTGTATATATATGGACAGAGAGTAAAATGGACATACGGAAAGCCAACTACTTGGAAAAATCTGGATGCTATCAAGACAAATGAGAACCAGCCCCGAACATATTTCCCAGCAGTGTTCTGTGTGCTGGGAACATAGTAGCAAACAACAAGCAAGCTCCTGCCCTCATGGAGCTTACAATCCAGCAGGACTAGACAGAGGCAGAGAAAGCCCCAGGTTCTAGCACCTCAGATTGTGCCTGCAAAATCACCTGGGCGGGCAGGCAGGTGCAAGCTGCAGAAGACACACAAGCCACATTTTAACCCAGTCTGTACGGGTCATAATTTCTAATACATCTTTTCGATAATGGTGACTTAATACAACTTAATTAAAACTCCAATGTTTTAGGCGTTATCCCAGAGAATGCCACCATTAATGGGAGACTCGAACCTCAGTGTTTAAAACGGGTTGGCAAACTATGGCCCATGGGCCAAATCTGGCCTGCAGTCTGTTTTTTATGGCTTGTGAGCTAAGAATGATTTTTACATTTTTGAAGTGGTCGAAAAAAAGACACAAATAAGAAGAGGCAACAGAGATAGTCTGTGGCCCATAAAGCCTCAAACATTTACTACCTGGCCCTTTACAGAAAAAGTCTGCTGAGCCTGAGCTAGAAAAAGAGTAAGTAAATCGCTTAGTGATTTCCAGGAATGTCATTTCATCATTTATTGCACACTGATTACAAGAAGTGTTAGATCTGAAACCATAACTTGGATAGTAAGTCTCAAAAATTGAAGGGGCATCTCGTTTCAAGCATAGGACTGACTAGTTTGTTTAATTATAATCGTGCCACTGTGCCCCAGCTTGGACAACAGAGCAAGACCCTGCCTCAAAAAACCAAACCAAGCCAAACCAAGCCAAACCAAACCAAACCAAACCAACAAAAAACAGGCCCCTGACCTACATCGAAGAGCCAGAGCTTCTCCCCATCATGGTAGACAGGAAGGGGAGTGTCCTGCTTTGCTCCATGAGCTCTGGGATTTCTTACATTCTGAGAGTTCAACAGCCCAGGCTGAGAATACTTCAAAATTTCCCATACAGTCAAGATCAGTTCCCCATATAATAAACTTCTCACCTGCAATTATACAATTTTATCATGCTTAGGTTCATTGGGTGAGGGGCAGTAAATCTGTATAAATAATCTATATTTACAATAACCTGAAACTTCCATAATAAATATGAAATGGCTGGAAATGAATTTTCAAAAACTAAACTCAAAAAGTGAAGCTATGAGTAGACAAAAAATACCTAACATAACAATAGTTAAGTTGAAAACTTCAGTAACAAAAGATTAATTCGGCTCAGGCCTGTAATCCCAGCACTTTGGGAGGCCGAGGAGGGCGGATCACTTGAGGTCAGGAGTTTGAGACCAGCCTGGCCAATATGATGAAACCTCATCTCTACTAAAAATATAAAAATTAGCTGGGCATGGTGGCATGTGCCTGTAATCCCAGTTACTTGGGAGGCTGAGGCAGGAGAATCGCTTGAACTCAGGAGGTGGAGGTTGCAGTGGGCTGAGATCGTGCCACTGCACTCCAGCCTGGGTGACAGAGCAAGACTTCATCTCAAAAAAAAAAAAAAATTATTGCATGGAAGAGTAATTTACCCTTTTTATCTTAAAATCATCACCTTATTAACTCAATATGCAGTCCTTCGACTTCTGTCCCTAGCACCTTAACAAAAGTGATTTTGGAAAGGCTGACAAGAATCTCTAACCTGTTGAAGCCCATGATGCCTATCATTCCTCATTCTACATGACCTTCCCGTTCCACTGGACACTGTAGAATGTAGCTCCTGCCAGGCCCCACCATGAACCCCTTCTTCTGACAACTTCTTTGCTGACTCTATCTTTGCTGGTATTCCCTAGAGATCTGCCCTTGGAGCTTTTTCTCTTTTTCCTTTACATTCTCCCTAGGGCTCAATTTCATTAACATCAACAATCCAAGTCCCAAATGTCCAAAACTGAGTTAACTATCCCAAAAACATCGTGTGGATTCTCAAGTTTGTGATTATGGTTCTTAACCAGACACACTTCAGAATAACACATGGAATGTTAAAAAGAAAATACTGCAGTCTGGGCCCGACCCCTCAGGGTCTAGGCCCCACCCCTCAGAGAGATTCTGACTCAACAGTTCTGGATAGAACCTAGGGATTCTACTGTGCACCCAGGCTGAGAGCCACTGGTCCATGGTATCAACATCAATCCAACCACCCAGGCTAGGAGCTACTTCAGGGCCATGTATGATTTCTTCTGCTGTTTGGATACCCAAAAGTTCAAATGTTAGTGGGAGGGGAGACAATGTGCCTTCCCTAACCTGACTGATAATACTGGATGCCTTCCCTAACCTGACTGATAAGACTGGATGGCCGACGTCTAGCTGCAGGCAGTCTCTGTCCCCACAGGGAGTGGCCTCTGCCTCCCGCTTGCCCCTGGGTGGGCTGAAGCAGTAAGCTGACTCTCAGGGCAAGCGTGTTCCTAAGGGTCTTGTCTCTTCCTTAGGGCTGGGTTCCAGTAGAAAAACTGGCCTTCAGAGAAAGGAGAGACTCTTCCAAATCTTTTGTTAGGTCAGTAGTTCTCAAAGTGTCCCCTGTTGCCCCAGAGTCCGCATCACCTGGGACCTTGTTAGAAATGCAAATTCTATGGCCCCATTCCAGACCTACAGAACCAGAACTCTGCGGGTAGGCACAGCAATCTATTTAACAAGACCTCCAGGTGACAGTAATAATGTATGGTCAATTTAGGAATCCCAGGGCTGGGCGCAGCAGTGGCCTGTAATCCCCAAAGGTTTGGGAAGCCAAAGCAGGAGGATCACTTGAGGCCAGGTGTTCCAGACCAGCCTGGGTAAAATAGTGAGACTTCATCTCTACAAAAAATTTTAAAATAAAACTAGCTGGGTGTGGTGGCACACACCTGTAGTTCTAGCTACTCAGAAGGCTGAGGCAGGAGGATCTCTTGAGCCCAGGAGTTTGAGGTTATAGTGAGTTATGATTGCACCACTGCACTCCATCCTGGGTTACAGAGTGAGACCTTTTCTCCAAAAAAACAAAAACAAAACAAACAAAAAACAAACAAACAAAAAAAAACAAAAACAAAAACAAAAGAATACCCTGGCTTTTAGGTATAAATTCTATCCAGGTTTATCAGAGACCTGTGTTGGGGAATTGCTGGCAAAAATGCAGGGCCTCATTTCCTATTTCTCTGTCCCCTGGGAATCTCTGGTGGATAGGTGCTGTCATTCAGAACAGAATTGGGGGAATTCTGAGTCACCTGGAAGAAATGATCTAAACAATGCAATTTTACCATCAATCAATCGGTAGGAATGGATTCTACTTCTAAAACCTCAAATGCCTTTCTCATGCACCTCCACTGCCACTCCCTGAGCCCAGGGCTTCCTCAAGTGTTGCCTGGCCACCCGTAATGGCCTTGTCTCCCTGATGAGCATCTCTTCCTGCCCCACTCTCCCACCCCACTCCGTTTTCTACACTGTCAGTAGCCCTGACTTCCCTTTGAAACATTTTTAAAGCTTAGAAATGTTATCCTGTCACTCATTTTCTACAGGATAAAGTTCAAATTTGGATTCACCTACCTTACCAGTGTCTGCTCCAGCCTATCCCTAACTCTTCCATATGCTCCACCCTTGACCTATCAGGGGCAATCATTGTATAACATATATAATTATTATTTGCCAATTAAAAAAACAGAATTCAGAGGGAGACTGTCCTCTCAAAGATGAATTAATGAACTCAATGAACAGTGGGGAAGGCAGGATGTCTCCCAGCTGTACGGGAACCACAACTTAACTGGTGCATAATCAGTAATAAAAATTAACCCATCTAAATAAAGATGGTACAAGCTGAATGGAGAAGCGGTTTAGAAAAACTCGGAAGTGTGTTTCCCTTGAAGTGACCAAGTGAGAAATATGCCCAAGGTGAACCTGGTGGCAGAGAAGGAATCTTGGTAGAGCAGCCAGGTTCGTCGGGTTCACACCACTGCCCGGATGAAGCATCCCTGAGGCTGGTCACCCTGCTTGCCTGCTCCCACGATCTCCACACAGACTCCTCACCTACTGAGGTCATGCAATCATTCGGGTCTGTCTCTGGACATGAAGCTCTTCTGCGACATTCTCCCTGAGATTGCCCCTTTCCAGGCTCCCGGCATGGACCCCCTTGGCTCTATTCGTCATACAGCCTAAGCACCTAAGGGCAGGGATAAGGCCTTACTGATCTCTCCAGCCCCAGTGCCTTGCACAGCGCCCAGCACGTGGCAAGTGCTCAGCAGCATCTGCCAGGCTGCACAAGTCAGTGTTTAGCCTTCTCAACAGTGAAATATACCAATGCTGTGACCTGCTCTGAGACTCACTAACCCAAGTCCAAATGCTTATCCCATCTCAATCCTTTATAAGTAATTTATCCTATCAATAAGTAGACTGTAATGCTCTTCTAGGATTAGTGGTTATGACCAATGAGTTTGGTTTTTGTGAGATTAGTACCAATCTGTGGCTTTACAGTGAAAATTTCTACAAATGACTTTCTGATCCCATTTCAGTCTCTACACTTAGTGGAGCCCAAGATTTTCCCTAATTGGGAAATATAAATCTCATTTAAACAAACAAACAAAACACCTGGAGACTTACACTTTTGGGAAGATGGAGTAGATCTTTTCCTTATTCTTCCTGCCAAGCAAAACTAAAAACTCTAGGCAGTATACAAAAACAAAGAAGATGACTCTGAAAGGCAGAGAAGGTGACAGACTGGAGGGAGACTGGGGTCTGAGGAAAGGCATGATAGTAAGATTCCTGGGTTTTCTTTTTGCCACACACATCCACTCAGAAACACCAATGTGCACAAATAAAGCCTCGACAAAAGCCAGCTATCTCTTGCCAAAGGTGCAGGAAAGGGGCAGCCCAGCAAGACAAAGGCTCCAGGCCAACACCACGGTAAGAACTGGGGTGCCATATCCACCCATGCCAACAAAGGCCAAAGTGGGAGCCAAGACTTCCACCCTTGCAAGGCTGTAACCAGACATCCCAGCATGCTGGCGATGGTGCTATCAGGGAGGGCTAAGCAGGGAGCTGAGCCTTTCATTCCAGACAGTCAGTAATGAACGCCCTTCCTGGCCAGGCACTAAGGAGCCAACTCTCCCCTCCCTTTGCCACTGAGGTGGTGACAGAGGAGGCCGAGTGGACAGTCAGGACTTCTACCACTGCCCAGTGGTGTCAGCAAAGACAACATGGGAACCAGAACTCCCAGCCCTACCCAGCAGTAATGAGGAGCCTCCCTGCCCTTGCGAGTCAACAGAGGACAGCAGGAAACCAGCACTTCTAACTCCACCTGGCAATAAAAAGGTGGCACAACCCCTTCCTCTGCCTCTGCCAGAGCAGTCAGAGAAAGCCAGTTAAAACAGAAGGTTTAGGTAAGATCCAGTCTCAGAACATTAATACCCAAATGGTCCAGGTTTCAATCTACAGCCACTCTTCATACCAAGAATCAGAAATTTCTCAAATCAAATGAAAACACAAACAAAACAATAAACAGATGCCAACACCAAGATGAGAGAGATGTTGAAATTACCTGACAAAGCCATCATAAAAATGCTTGTTCAATGAGCAATTATGAACATGCTTGAAACAACTGAAAAAACAGCCACAGCAAAGAAATAGAAGCTAAAGAAGAACAAAATGGAAATGTCAGAACTGAAAAATATAGTAACTGAAATAAAAAGCTCACTGCATGGGCTCAATAGCAGAACAGAGGAGACAGGAAATAATCAGTAAACAAATACAGACAATTAGGAATTATGAGAGAAAATGGACTAAAAAAAAAGAACAGAGCTTCAGGGACCCGTGTAATTATAACAAAAGATCTGACATTTGTGTTATCAAAGTCTCAGAAGGAAAGGAGAAAAAGGAAGGGCTGAAGAAGTACCTAAAGAAACAATGGGTAAAAACTTCCTAAATTTGGTGAGACTAAACCTATATAGACTTAAAAAAAAAAAAAAGAGCAAACCTCAAAAAGGGTAAACAGAAACGAATCCACATCAAGATGCATTATAATCAAACTTGTGAAAACTAAAGACAAAAAAACCTTGAAATCAGCCAGAGAAAATGACACATTATCTATAAGGAAAATACAATTAGAATGACAGATTTCTCATTAGAAACCACGGAGGCTAAAAGGAAGCATTTTTCAAGTACTCAAAGAAAACAAGTGTCATTCCAGAATCCTATACTCAAATGAAAATATCCTTCAGGAATATTCAGACATTCTCAGATGAAACAAAACTCAGAGAATTCATATCCAACAGACCTACCCTAAAAAAATGGCTGAAGGAAGTTACCAAAACAGAAAGGAAATGATAAAAGAAGGAACCTTGGAGGATTAGGAAAAAAATATAAATAAAACAAGATTTCCTTCATATCTTAAGTCTTCTAAATTATGTTTGATGACTGATGCAAAAATTCAAACATTATCTGATTTGGTTCTAAATGTATGTAGAGGAAATATTTAAGACAACTGGGGGAAAGCAAAGAAACATAAAGGGAGATAAGGTTTCTATAGTTCACTTGCAATGGTAAAATGATGACCCCAGGACCATGAGAAGTTATGTACATATAATGTATACCTAGAGCAACCACTAAAAAAGAGATACACTAAAAAATGCTACAGACAAAACAGAATTCTAAAAAATATACAAGTAACCCACAAAAAGGCAGGAAAAAGAAAATAGAGAAAACAAAATAAAAATAAAATGGTAGATTTAAGTCCTAACATATCAATAAGCACATTAAAAGCAGACAGTCTACTTATGTAATTAAAAAGACAGAGATTGGCAGACTGGATTAAAAATCATGACCCAAATTATATGCTGTCTATAAGAAACGTACTTCAAATACAATGATATAGGCAGGTTGAAGTAAAAGGATGGAAAAAAAATCATGGAAACATTAATTAAAGGAAAGCAGGTGGCTATATTAATACTAGATGAACTTGAGAGGAAAGAAAATTACTAGAAACAAAGAAGGACATGATATAATGATAAAACAGTCAATCCACCAAGAAGTTACAGCAATGTTAAATGTAAATGCATCAAACAAAAGCACTGAAAACTATGTAAAGCAGAAACATCTAAAAGAGAAATCCACAATTACATTTGGAGATGTCAACAACCTTCTCTCAACAGTATAACAACTAGACAGAAAAATCAGGAAAGAACTTAACACCATTATCAACCAACAGACTCTAATGGACATTTATAAACTAGTCCACACAAAACAGGAGAATATACATTCTTTTCAAGTGCCCATGGGTCATAAGCCAAGACAGACCATATACTGGGCCATAAAACAAACCTCAACACATTTAAAAGAAGTGAAATCATTTAACACATTTAAAAGAAATGAAATCAAAAGAAGTGAAATCATTCTCCCAACTAAAGTGGATTCAAAGTAGAAAGCAATAACAGAAAGATAGGAAAAGTCTCCAATCTTGGAAGACTGGAAACTAAGCAACACACTTCTAAATTATTCATGGGTCACAGAAAGTCTCAAAAGAAAAAAAATGGAAGGGAATGAAACTGAAAGTTCCATATATCAAAATTTGTGGGACATCAATAAAGCAGGGGTGAGGAGGAAATTTATAGCACTAAAAGCATACATAAAACGGGGGGGAAAGTCCTGTATTAACAATTAAAGCTTCCACTTTACATAACTAAAAAAAGAGCAGAAAAATAAATCTAAAGTAAGCAGGACAAAGATAATAACAAAGATAAGAACAGAAGGCGCTGTGATTGAAACAGATAAGCAACGGAGAAAAATCAATGAAACACAAAGCTGTTCTTTGATTAGATCAGTAAAACTGACAAACCTAGCAAGACTGACCAAAAACCCCAAAAAATGAACAAAAATAACTAAAAAAGACACAAATTACCAATATCAGAAACAAAACAGAATATTCCTATAGACCCTACAGACATCAACATGATGGTAAGGGAATACTATAAACAACTCTATTCACATAAATGTGGTAACTTAGATGAAATGATGGACCACTTGATTAAAAAACACTACTACCACAACTCACTGAATATGAAACAGATGATGTGAACAGCCCTGTAACTATTAGGAAAGTGACTTAAAAATTAACATCTTCCCCCCACTTTAAGTCAAAGTGAACTCCAAACTAAGTTTCACACTTCATACAAGATGAACTCAAAATGAATCATGGACTATAAAAGGATAAAAAGACACACTACAGGCAAGTAAAAATTATTTGCAAACCACATATCTGACAAAGTACTAGTATTTAGAATGTGTAAATGACTCTCAAAATCAATAGTAGAAAAACCCAAACAATCCAATTAAAACAATGGGCAAAAGACATGAAGAAGGTATTTTACCAAGGAAAACATACAGATGTCAAATAAGCACATGAAAATATATTCAATATCATTATCCATTAGAAAATAACTGCAAATAAAAACCACAAAGAGGTATCACTACACACTTATCAGAATGGATTCAACAGAAAAAAATGAAGATGCTGCTGAGGATGTGGAGAACCTGGATCACTCCTACGTTGCTGGTGGGAATGTAATACAGCACAGTCATTAGAGAAAACGTTTTTGCAGTTTCTTAAAAAATGAAATATGCAACTATCATAAGACCCAACAAATTCACTCCTGGGCACATATCCTAGAGAAATGAAGTTCTGTGTTCATACAAAAACTTGTACACAAATATTTGTAGCATCTTTATACATAACAGCCCCAAATTAGACATAATCCAAATGTTCTTCAATGAGCAAATGACTAAAAAACCTACAGTACATCCATAAGTTGGACTACTATTCAGCAATAAAAAGGAACGCACTGGTGAATCTCCAGAGAATTAAACTGACTCAGAAAAACCAAAATGGTACATTCCTTTTGGGGAAAAGTTCTCCTTAGTCTGGCAACTATTAATCTCCTCCATTTCTACAATTTTGTCATTTCAAGAATGTTACATAAATGGAATCATAGTTGCCAGACTAAGGGGTAGGCTGAAGAAGGAGGGAAGTGAGTGTGGCTAGAAAAGGGCCCATGAGGATTCCTGTGGGCTTGGAAATGTTCTGTGTCTTGGCTGTATCAGCATCACTATCCTGGGTATAGTAATAGTGTACAGTGGTTTTGCAATGTGTTACCATTGGGAGAAACTGGGTAAAAGGTATAAGAGATCTCTGAATTTATTATTTGCACGTGAATCTACAAGCATCTCAAAATAAAAAGCTAAAAAACAAGCAAGTGGCCAGATACGATGTGGCTCACACTTGTAATCCCAGCACTTTGGGAGGCTGAGGCAGAGGGATTGCTTGAGCCCAGCATGAACAACATAGGGATACCCTGTCTCTCCAAAAATAAAAATAAAAAAATTAGGCATGGTGGTGCATACCTACAAGTTCCAGCTACTTGGGAGGCTGAGGTGGAAGAATCCCTTAAGTCTGGGAGGCTGCACTGGGCTGAGATCACACCACTGCACTCCAGCCAGTGAGACTCTGTCTTAACAAAACTCCCAAAAACCAAAAACCAAAAACTCTTTATTGACAAAAACATTTGTCTCTGACTGTGGGGTACCTTGGGGCTAACCTCAGTGTGTGGAAGAACACTTAGGCTGCTAAATGTTTAGTGTAGAGAACCACCCACTAGCTATACTTACCCATGGTCACCATAAATGCTGTGCATGTGGGGGTGACTGAGTGTTCATCTGAGAGGCACGGTGTAGGTGAGGAGCTCTCATTCAATGTGAAGATGCTGGGTTTGACGGGGGGCCGACAGAAAGGATCTATGTGAAGAACATTGCCATAGTCTCTGTAACAGAGCCACGATATCCGTTCTACTATTCGATGTCCTCAGATTCAGGCAGGAATTTAATGCCAGCAAACTGTTTTTTCCAGATGAACTCCTATGCCCCCTTTTCCTTCAGAACTATATGACATTTTTCCTCAACCATAACTGCCAGAAAATTTGCAGTTCAACTTAACACTTAATGGTAACAACTAACTTTATTCGAGGTTTCTGCTGATAGTACCGTAACTAAAAAACAGATGAAACACCAAAAACCATTTCTGACTTTTATTCATTGTTTTATATGTGCTATGATAATTTAAACTGCCTCTAATCTGTTTTAAATGTAGGCAAAGTATGAATTATCTATGTAAAAAGCATGTCCTAGACATTTACTTCGTCTTTATCTTCACTACATGCTGTGTAATGAATTTGTCTGAGCTAGGTGCTCTGAATGAATCGTTAGTCTGAGCTAGTTAGTTGCCTCTCTCCCACTTTAAATCATTTCATTTAATTGCCACCCAAAAGAACTATTTCAGGGAAGTTTCAATCACTAGCAAATGGGTTCTCTGAACATATGTGGTCCCACGTTAGGCCCTGTCATATCAGTGACAGCACCTGAGAGGGACATCTCTGGACAACCTCCAGAGAATCACCAACTGTGACCTCCAGAAAGAATTTCCCCAGGCTTCAGGGGTGCTGGCATCACACTTACGGACTTCTTCTTTTCCTGGACCTCCCATTGTCTGGGCCCCAGGCCTTATACAGGTGGACAATCTCTTATCTGTAAATCTGAAATCCAAAAAACTCTCAAAGGTTTTTTTCCCCAAACTCATTTAGAAACAAAACTTAATATGACTATATATTTTTGGTGGCTGCTGATGTTCACCTACTTTTACAGTCTTCTGCATCGTGTGGTGCATGACTACATACCTTTCCAAAATTCTGAATTCTCAAACACACGAGGCACCCAGAGTGTTGCATAAGGACTGTGGACCTCACCTCTAGCTCACTCTGACATCCCATTTCCAAGGCTGCACCTACGAACCTGGTATTGCCCAGAACTGCTTTTCCTCTGAAACCTTACACTCACACCTCCTTTTTAAACCTTAGTCTCCTAACATTCCTTGCTCCCACCATCCTCGAAATTCAATCTGTTGGATTTCCCATCCCTTGACTCATCCATGTTCTCTATCTGTGAGGTTCCTTCTGGCTAAAGGTCCTTCCCCAAGTTGCTAATTCGACACTGCCAGCACAGCACCCCACCGCTCTCCTGCCAGCACTCCTGTGACGTCCTCACTCGCTGTCTTTTTGCTGTCCCTGCCCCACAGAACTCCAGCACTGTCCTACTCCACCAACTACCCAGTTTTCATTCTTCACCACTGGGCTGCAGGGTACAAGTGAGAAAGTGACACAAACCTGAGGCAGTGCCTCAGTGGCCCTCGGCTGGGCCTCCAATGTTGCTGAAGGGGCCAGCGTACAGATCCAAGTTTCCTGCCCCTGCTGACTCCCTGGGCCTACAACATTCTCAGCAACGTGGAATCTGACTATTCCAAACTTTGTCTATTTTGTGTTTCTACCCTACCACTTCCCCCAGCAGTCTCAGAGGATGACTTAGTTCAAGTAAAAACTTCCCTAAACCCACATGCTGCCTCAAGTTGACTCCTCAAGTTCAAGTGAAAACCCGTATCCTGCCTCTCCATCTCTACCAACTCACGCACATCTGCACACCTGCGGACTGTCCATCCTTTTATCATCTACCAAACTGGGTCTCGGCCCACTCCACCACCTGGGCACATGGTTTCACCAATTATCTCCTCATTTTCTTCCCCCTCCCTCTTTTTCTTCGAGGAGGCAGCACAGTGCAGGAGTTAGAATCACACAGACTGGGTCTTGCTCCCATTCTGCCCAGCGCTGCCTTACTGGAAAACCGTAGCAAGCAGTGCCAGTCACCAGGGTGCACGAGAAATTGTGGTCACGTCTGAAACCTTGGCAAGTGTGGATCAGCACCACTGTCTCAGCTCTATAGGCTTTCTGACCTTGGCCCAGAGATATTTTCAAGCACCATGTTTCCATGTATTATTCATTTTTCATAAAAAATATTGCCTTCTTGGTTGTAACTCTCTATATTTTTTAAAAACCTACCATACAATACATGCATACTTTTTTCTTGTTAAAAATTAAATAGGGAAAATACAGGTTAAAGAGTAAAAGCTCCCAAAACACTCACTAGTTAGTGGCCACTACTAACAGTCTGATGTGAAAGTTACTCTAAGCCACAGTGACTTGGTCTCAGTCAGAGGTGATGGCGCTTCACACAAACTGTTCTTTCCAAGGTCACAAATAATGTCCTCAAGTCCAGGCTCCGCGAGCACTCTTCAGCCTCTGCTTTGCCTGGCCCTGCCTGCTGGCATGTGCTAACCACACCTTCCACTGCTTTCTGTTATGCTGTCTGTCATGCTATCTGCTGGCTGCCTTCTCGTTTGGCCTTGCCCTCAGGATTCTCTGCTTGTCCCAATTCTTACCCTTGAGACCAAGTTCCTAACAGATGCTTCTGCTGGGATGCTCCACAGCCACCTTCAACTCAGCAGGCTACAGATGGCATGTGCCACTTCCTGCCCCAATAATAACCATGGCAGTAGTGATATCCTATGATGTGGGGAGTAACTGTTCTCTTCACTTTAAAAATAACAAGTGGAGGCTCAGGGGAGTCATTTTCTCCCAAGTCACACAGTTAGTAAGGGAGCGGAGTCAAGATATAATCTGCACCTGCCTAATGGCAGAACGTGGCCTCAGGACGCCACACCTCTCTGCCTCTCCCTACCCTTGATAAAGCCAAAGCCAGAAACGAGAATGGCCACAGACGCCATCATTTCTCTGGTTAACAGACACTGAGACCCAACTGTGCCAGGCTCACGGCTTTCTTGGGTTTTAGCCCTCAATCCTGCAGTGGCTGCTGTCCAGTCCATGGGGTTTAAGTGTTAGAGGGGGGAGAAACCAAAGAAGTACAGAATCTAATGATTATTCAGCAACAAGAGTCCCTGCTCAGGCCAACCATGAACAGGCGGCATTTCTGGGCATCATCTTCCACTGGAAGCAGTGACTGGAGAGATGGCATAGCATGGCTGTGTGGCTTGCAAGCCATCCAACCGCAGAAGGCAAGATCCAGGGAGATAAACACATTCACTTGAAGAGGTCATCCTGAGCAGCTTCCAAAAACCAGAAACTACATAAGCTCATTATAAGAAATAATTTTAGTATGAGATACCAGGGGGAGAAAAAAAAGAACGTGTTGCCTCTAAAAAGAGAATGTTACTATTTAATGTAAATCTGCTATTTGCAGGGGTGTGGGGGTAGGCTTTTGAAAGATTATAAAGGTTTTGCCCAGCTGGAAGCCTATAGTTTCACAACATACTACTAGTTTGCAACCCCAAGATCAATGCCCACCTTTTAAAGTTCATTTTAAAGACTGTCTGTCTATATGCATGCTATACTTCAATAAAAACATTGAAGAAGAAAAAAAATATAGATACAGGCTCCTTCCTTTTTCCCAAACAGCATCAGTGGGAAGGATAGTGAGTAGAGTAGCCGCGCCTGCAAAGCTTCTAACCACTGTCTCCTCACAGGCTCAAGAGTCACCAATAATGTGGCATCCATGCTCCCTCACTGAGTATCTCTTAGTAGGTTGACTCTAGGACCACTGTGAAAATTAAAAAGCATTTCATTTTAAAATTTAGGTTCTCAATGAGTGACCCTGAAAATAGAATTGGCCCATCACGCTGGTGTTGGAAGACTGTGTTGACACAGGAATGAGGTAGTCAATTTGACTGCCCAACTCTTTCTTTGTGATAAGAAAGGATAATACAGATTTATTTTATTCACGCCCTAAATGTGGGGAAAACGCTATGTAACTTGATCTAATTAAAAAAGAACTTTTAAGTATTCACTTAAGATTATTCTAAAAATTACCCTAAAATATGTAAGCTCAGTTAATAATGGGTTAGCCAAAAAGGATTTCTGTAGAAGAGGTTAACCAATCATATTCAAGACATCTTACTGTTTTACAAATCCGAATGCGTGTAATTCCAAGAGAACTCAATAGAGCTAGTTTTTGTATTCCTGGGACTAAAAAATTATCTAAAACTCCTTGACTCTGGGATGTCAAGTTTCTTCTGGCCTCTTAGGGCTGCCAAGATCCCTGTTTTCCGTATAAATTGAAGCCCAAAACTCCTTGGTAAACCATTCTGGAAGGGACTGATACAGGCTTGGAATAATGTATATTAGCATGGCTGCCACAAGACAGAAAGGAAGATGCAAAAAAGCTCAGGCTGTGAAGGGATGAAATTGCAATACAACTAGAGGCTATTTACTGGTTTTTACCTTTTGATTCTGGAGCTTACAAACTGGTCTACCTATTTGTGTGTGGTGCAGACTTCCAAGCTCCCAGTGGTGCCCACCTCTTGGTATTTATGCCCTTGCGCGGTTCTCTCTCCTGGAGTGTGGGCTGGACCACACTTCGAATGAGCAGAATACTACAACATTGATGGGATGCCACTTCCCAGATTAGATAGTAAGAAACAGTGACTTCCGTCCTGCTTCCTCCTTGCCCTCTTGTTTGCTCATTCTGGGGGAGCCAACTGCCAAGCTGTGACCCGCTCTGTGGAGAGGAACCATGACAGACCTCTGGCCACAGCCAGCAAGGAGGAGCTTGGGCCCTCCGTCCAACAGTCCGTGAAGAACTGAATCCCACCATCAACTGCCTGTGTGAACGTGGAAGCAGGTCCACCTTCAGTTGAACCTTAAGATGACATCAGCCTTGGCCAACACCTTGACTGCAGTCCTGTGTCCTGTGAGGGCCATGGGACCCCGCTAAGCTGTACTCATGTCCCTGACCACAGAAACTGTGAGATAAGAGTATACGTTCTTTTAAGCCCCTGGGTTTTGAGGTCATCTGTTACTCAGAAATAGGTAATTAATACAGTAAGCAGAACTCTAAAGCAGGGTTGGCTTTTTTTGCAAAGGGCCAGATAGCAAATATTTTCAGCTCTGTGGGCCATATTGTTTTGGTCACAATTACTTAACTGTGCCATAGAAGCATGAAAGCTGAGGATATACCAACAAATGAGCATGGTTCTATTCCAATAAAACTTTATTTATAAAACCAGGTGGTGATTTGGCCCGCTAACTGTAGTCTGCCAACCCCTGCTCTAAAGTAAAGAAATCCTAATTTGGAGTTAAAAGGCAGATGATCTCCATTTTACTCCTGTGCTCAAAATTATTTTAACAATAAAACAAAAGCTAAATCTATCACAATAACACAATCTCAGGCAGCTGAAAAGAAAAGCAGATGTCCACAGAATTTCTGATTTTGGTAAACAATCTAAGAAATACAAATATATCTTTTATGACAGATACCTCTAATTGCATTTTTATGGAAAAGTTGAAGTCCAACACTGGAGATAAATCTGAGCCAGAGGAACCTACTGAATTAGTTGTTTACCACAACTATAATCTTAATAGCTCCTTAAGCACGCACTGGCTTTTCCCTCACACATCACGGATCTCCGGCAGTGGGAGATGATTACCTTTGCTTTTTGGCAATGGCGATGGAGGCTGCTCTGTAAACACTTCTAGGGCTGGGGAGTCATGGTGGTCGAAGTCTTTGTCCATGGCTTCTATGAGACTGGTGATGTCCGAGTCCTCGGAACTGTGCCTCGCGCTGCTGGCACGTTCTGGGTGGGAAGGGTGTGCGAGGGGGGCGGGAGACAGCCTTTCAGGCTGCGGCTCCTGGGGCTGAGGCACTGGCGGTGGCAGAGGAGGCTGAGGGTGCTGCTCCAGCGGGCTGTGGGCATGGTGCTGGCTGCCGTGCTGGCTCTGCTTTGCCCCTTTGGACTTTCTGCCCGCTGTATGACCTTGAGTCACTGTGTTCGAATCTAAGACAAGGGGGCTTGTTTTGTTAGCAGACTGTGAAGAAGCTGCTTGAGCAGAAGTCCTACTAGAGGTACTTGAACTGTTTTTGGCTCTGACGTTTTCCACGTCAGCTGAGTTTCTATTGCTGTGACTGCTGTGTGGGTGGACCGATGGGCCACACTGCTTATGACTCCCGGCACTGGGTCGGGATGATGAACCGCCTGCTCCACAGAACCCCCTACTGTGACCGGGGTCACAGCTGAGTGTGTTCAAGCTGAAAAAGGGACCAACTGCAGATCAGTAAATAGCAACCTACAAAATCTAATATTAAAAAAAAACTTCAACTTCATCAGTACAGCCACCATAAATATAAACTACACTAGGGAAAAAATAGCAAGAAATAGGGAAATTTCTACAACTCTCTAACATCTGTTCTATCTGAACATTTATAATTTACCATCAGTGATCTAACTAAAAGTATTTTAACCCTTACCAATATAATAAAAACACAGTATCCAGCATGAGCTCTAAGTCACTCAGAGTTCCATACAGGGTGTTATTAAGTAATCAGAATTAAGATTTTTTTTCTCCTGAGCAAAGATGAAAAGAAACTTATTTTTTATTGTAATTTTATCAGCCAAATCTATGTACACTAGGGAATTTATTGCCAGCATGTGAACATACTTTCCTTCAGATGAAATACCAACGATTCTCCTGAGATCAAATGGCCTTCCCACATCGAAGGGCGGGTTCGAGGCCTCAAAGGATAGCCGCCTTCGAAATGGCTCCCATATTCCTTGAGCTTCCAAATAGGCTGTTCCAATGACCAAAAGAAACAGTGCACTGCAGGGGTAAAAAAAATTGGAAAATCAGGATTCATTTGTTAGTAGACAAGCAACAAAATTCGATGTTAAAGGCAGAGTTTCTTGGTAAAGTACAATATGATGTAATAGAAAACCAAGTTGTCTGTGACAACTTTTAACAGACAAAACCCACAGTTTTGGCTGGGCACGGTAGCTCATGCCTATAATCCCAGCACTTTGGGAGGCCGAGGCGGGTGGATCACGAGGTCAGGAGATCGACACCATCCTGGCTAACATGGTGAAACCCCGTCTCTACTAAAAATACAAAAAATTAGCCGGCCGTGGTGGCGGGCGCCTGTAGTCCCAGCTAGTCGGGAGGCTGAGGCAGGAGAATGGCATGAACCCGGGAGGCGGAGCTTGCAGTGAGCCGAGATCGTGCCACTGCACTCCAGCCTGGGCAACAGAGCGAGACTCTGTCTCAAAAAAAAAAAAAAAAAAAAAACAAAAAACCCACAGTTTTATGGATAAAAGTTTGCACATCAGTTTTTCTCTTTCTTTCTTTTTTTTCCTGAGACAAAGTTTCGCTCTTATTGCCCAGGCTGGAGTGCAATGGGGCGATCTCAGCTCACTGCAACCTCAGCCTCCCCAGTAGCTGGGATTATAGGGATGCATCACCACATCCGGCTAATTTTTTGTATTTTTAGTAGAGACGGGGTTTCACCATGTTGGCAAGGCTGGTCTTGAATTCCTGACCTCAGGTGATCTGCCCGCCTCGGCCTCCCAAAGTGCTGGGAATACAGGTGTGAGCCACCGTGCCCGGCCTGCTCATGAATTTTTATAGAATGCCATCTCACATGGAGGTTTTATATGGAGGCAATAATTATGTGTATTAGAAGAAATGCCTGGAATTTGATTTTTCTTTTACTAAGAAGAATTTTAGTTTCAACTCTCCAACCCGTTTCCTCTAAAGGATGTGTGATATAAATATGTAAATTAGTTTAGAGGTGAATTTATCTGACTCTTGAAACACAAAGTAATATATTGAGAACAGATGAAGACACTGAGAATTTAAAAAATATTTCTAATCAGTTTCAAGTGGCCTAGGTACTATTGTGTTAAGTATATTATATATATGCCCAAGTCAAGTAACTTTATCTGAGCATTTTAAAAAGATGTTAAAATGTACTTAATTTGTATAACAAATTTCAGAGGTAAAGAACACTGTTTATTATATATGCCACCCAAGAAGGGCTCTGTTTTAACTGTTCCCACCAGTCTGTGAGATTGATAAAGGCAGAGTTCTGTCTTGTTTGCTGGCATATCCTAGCACTCAGAACAGTGGCTGGCACACAGTGGGCACTCGATCAACAGTGTTAAATGTTGAATGAATATGAACCTTGAAACAAGACACAATACCTCATTATTCCTGAGATGATGATATACAGAGCCAGTTCCCAGTTAGGTCTGGGTAGGGCTTCTGCACAGGTTGCTAACATATGGTAAGGAAGGGATGCATTCAATATAAATACAAACTCAGAGCCACTGGTTGTTATAAACTTCAGTTCCCGAATAACTCTAGAAGCTGTAAAATCAGGAGTAAACCTAAAACAGAATGATGGTAGTAAGGCTAAGTTTTAAAAATATCTCACAAGCAGTCTGCATATAATACTGGTCCTATAAGCCTTTGAAATATAACACAGAATTTGCGTTTGATACTTTTACTCAACTTCCGTATTTTAAGATGAAAAAAGTATTGTCCCATGGTCAGTAATAGGAACAACTGTATTCTGTGAATAATTAGAGAAATTACACTAAAAAATAACAATAATCAAATTCTCATAATTATTAATTCAGAAAATGGTCCTGAGCTTCATGTCCTTCTCTCCTTCTTTCTTCTTTATCTAAATCCATGCTCTTTTCCCAGGCTACAATCCCAATAATGTCTTTTTTAAAAAAACAAACCAACTGGCTGGGGCCTAGTGATTTTTCCATCATCTCCTGCAGTATGGATTACTGTTGCAATTATTCTATTTTTATTTTTTGCTAATTGTATGTACCTTGAGGAAAGGTGTCTTATTCCTCATTGCATCTTTAGGTGTCAAACATTATGCCTTATATGCAATAATGTAGCTACTTATTAAGTAAATATTCATTAAAGATCACTAAATTAAATATTCAATTAAGGGACAGAAGTTGCATTTTATTGCATAAACTTTATAACAGAACAAGTTATCAATTAATTGTTAAAATATGCTGCAGCTATTACTGAGATAGGTATTAAAACTGTCTTCTGACCAAAATATTACATATCCGTATACTGCAAAACGTGAAAAAACTGTACATGTATGAAACAAATCTCTGTTGCTGAGGGACTGTGAATTTACATCAACATCTTTTGCTTTAACGTAACCCTGAAAATAATTTTGAAATTGATTTCTAAGATTATCTGATCCACTTCGGAGATAAAGTTTTATAACTTTTGAAAACTGAGATATGAAGAAATGCCTTAACCAAAGATTAAGTGAAAAAAAATTTACAACTTTGAAAACTAAGATATGAAGAAATACCTTAGCCAAAGATTAAGTGAAAAAAAAACAAATGAATGCATTTGTGGATAAAGACCTTTGGTAAATATGAAAACATATCTTTGCACAGAGTTTGAGGAAAGTTAGTGATTCATTACACCTTAAAATAAAATACTTACAATATGATTATATCTCTAGAAGCATTGGCACTTAGAGTAAACTCTTGACAATTAACAACTTTAAAGCCATATCCTTCACATGAGTATCCACTGATTTCAATGGTTTCTATGTGAATTTGAAGTTGTCCTGTATTCTCTACCTTAAATGTTCTTTTCAATGTGAAATTTGGTTCTCTTAGTTTTAAACCTAAAGGATAAAAAATCAGGAATAAGACTAAATCTTGCCATCATGTGCTCCCAGTCCAAATGATAAATACATTATTCATGAATTACTATATGTCACAGGTTATAAACCATCCCTGCATGTCAGAGAGATCAGCTGTTCCTCAGATTTCATCATGAGGTAATCTACTTTGATAAATCATTTTAGATGGCAAAAGTTGACTATACTTCACATTTCATACTGAGAGTAAATCAGCTAAGGTATGCAATGAGTGCAAACACTTTAAATCTTTTAAGATCCAAATCAAACAACTCTAAACACAACATGGAATTTCCTTAAGCTCTTAAGCATTCATAACTAATATACACAGGTGCACATACAGAAATAATGTTGTTTTTGAAATTATTTACTGTTGAAAGCAAATGCTGAAATTAGTGTCCTTGAAACTGTTAGGAAGACTTACTATCTGTACAATCTTTTAACAATGCTTCCGTGATTTTAAAGCGTAAGGAGCTTCCTGGACCTGGAAGCTTGCCTGCCACCCTCAAGTTCTCAGTTGTTCCTTGTCCTTGGACCATCACAGCATCCATCACAGTCAGGTTATTTCTATGCAAGAATGAGAATTACAGATTTTTCTCTCATTAAATCTGCACAATCTTTTGATTTGCAATTTCTACTGTTATTTTACAGAGCACCACATAGAAATTAAATTTAATGGTGAGAATTTATACTTTAAGAATTCAAAAATACACAGAGAAGAGCAAGTTTTTATTTTTAAGAGACACACATTAAGACACCATTCATGTTTTTGAACTATGCATTTGATAACAAAGGTATGTTTCATCAGGCATGGAGTGTGTGCATGTTTTGGACAAAGTGAATTCAAACTATTTCATAAGTTAGACATGCAAATTCATCTTAAAACAAGTGAGGACTTCTAAGTAAGTAGTAAAAATGAACCCACACCTATATCACAGAACCTACCTGACTATGATAAGTGAAGAAACAGTTCTGTTGTGAACTGGAGTAAACTTTACTTTGACAGATTTCTTTTCTCCAGGTTTTAAAATTAGGTTTAAAATTAAATGTCGAGAGAGGCCCTCCATAAATCCTGTTGAACTCTGCAGTGGATGAGCCTTGAATCATTGGGTAAACAGAGAGGAGTCATGAATATATTCTCTGGAAGAATGTTTCTTCGCTTACACCCCATCTAGAGCCCAGTATAGTTTCTCAAACTGATTAAATGCATAAACAATTTTATCTGTCATGTTTAGATATGGGTTAGCTGGAAAGCAGCACAGAGTAACCAACGATGAGATTCATATTCTACATTAAGTCCAAAAAGGGGCTTTCTTCCCCAGGTCACCAAATAAAGTCCTCAATGTTTGCACAAGGCATTTGTTTTTGGATACATATCTTTTTTGTTTTTAACCTAAAAATTTGAAATATTCCACACACAGAAAAGGACACAAACCTAAGATGATCAGCTAGACACATTAGCACAAAGCAAACACTTGTGGAACCAATGCCAGCACCCCAGGCCTCCTGATGCTTCCCGCCACTGCTCCCCTCTGAAGGGGACCAGGGCCAACACCTCAGGCCTCCTGCCACTGCCACGCCACTCCTCCCCTCTGAAGGGGACCAGCTGAAGGGTCTTCAGGCTGCACCGAATGTTTAAATGTAAAAAGATTTCCAATTCCTATACATTTCTCCTTGAATCTTATTTTGAAGGTTACACACGCTTACTGTTTCATAAACACCCAATGATTTAAAGTTTAAAGCATAGCTTAGTTTAATATTCAAAATATGACTTTTTGACAGCCAGTTATAGTTAAGGTTGAAAAACATTTGCTTTTTTATTACAAAAACAGTCACAGGTCACATATAAGGATATACCGTTCTGGTTTTTAAGCAACATTAAGTGTAAACTTTTTTGAGGGAAGGGTTGTCAACGCTTGGCTATAAACATCCACCAGTTCTTCATGGCTTCTGCTATCATGGAAGGAGGGTGCATTTTGTATTGTTTTCTACTCCCCCTGGCATAGATCGGTGTGTGTTTCACACATAGAGATCTAGCTACTTGCTTCAGCATGATTCCACAAACATTAACTCAGAGTCAACAGACTTTATGAAGCACATTACTTTTAATTCTTGCTTCTGAGGTAAATACGGTTGTCTCTGTACATGCCAGAGATTGGTTCCAGGATTCCTGGCATAACCAAATCTGCGATTTTTCAAGTAGCAGTTGGCCACTGTGGAATGTGCCTACAAAAAGTAGGGCTCTCCATATATGCAGTTTTGCATCCTGAAAACTGTATTTTCCATCTGCACTTGATTGAAAAAAATGTATGCGTGCGTCAGCACAGTCGAAGCCTGTGTTGTTCAAGTGTTAACTGCTATTTTTTTCCTTTCTGTCAAAGTCCACTAAGACAGAAGAATATTCCAACTGCTTCAAGATGGTTGGTGAGTAATTTCCCTTTTAAATCAACTACTCTGATTAACTGATGGACACAATGATGTACTATACATATATTCCCAGCAAGCACTAGCTAATTTAAACTCTCATGGTTTGGGGAAAACTTTAAGATGTTGTGATGCCTCCCGTATACCATTCAGGACCTTAATAATTTTATAGTGGTGGTTCTCCAAGAGTGACCCTTGGACCCCTGGGGATCTCAGGGATCCTGTCAGAGTATCCACCACGATGTCAAAACTATTTTCATAATAATACCGATAGACGTTATTTGTCTTTTTCACTATGTTGGCATCTGCACTGATGGTCAGCAAAAGCCATGGAGGGTAAAACTGCTGACCCCTTAGCATGCATCAAAGCAGTGGTATCAAACTTTCCTAGCAGCCATTGTGTTTTTCAGTGTCATTCATTTGTATTTAAAAAAAAAAAAAGTCCTCGATTATGCCATAAAAACTTCAACCCTGGAGCATGTCTTTAATATTCTGTGGGATACAATGGGAAGTATGTAAAAAGTATTTCTACAGCTACCATGTTGTTTTGAAAAGCTGTTTGAGATGGAAGCTGAACTAGCTGCTTTTCTCATGGAACACCGTTTATGTCTGAAAGAATGACAGACAGTCCATGGTTATTCAGACTTGGGCATCTGGCAGGTATTTTCACAGAAATAAGTGAGCCTACTGAAGTATTTGTTTCTAATAAAATTCAAGCTTTTGAGCAAAATTTAGGATTTTGGATAATTTGTATTCACCATTGTGAGCATGACAGCTTCCCAATACTTCAAGAGTTTCCTGATGAGCCTGGTGGTTAGATTAGCGAGGATGATTCATTTTTGGATAGTGCATAGTGAATTGTGGCAACATTTGTAAGGTCTGCATGTCTCCGTGAACCAGTATTTTCCAAAAGACTGATGTACAGTGTTATAAATAAAAAGGCAACTAAAATACTCCTTCTTTTTGTAATTACATGTCTGTAGCAGGTTAGATTTTCATTACATACTTCGATCAAAACAATATATCAAGAGAGACTGAATGTAGAGGCAGATATGAGAATCTACCTGTCTATTAAGTCAGGGAGCCAGCCATTAAAGAGAGTTGTAAAAATTAAAAAAAATCCATTCTCCTTGCTAAATGATTTTTTAAAATATAGGTAGTTTTCATTTTTGATGTTACCTATGTTGAATGGAATAGGTTTATTATTATTTTAAACAAATTAAATCACTATTTTAAAGATCTTCCATGCCCGGCCTCAGTTTCAGTTTCTAATATGGCAAAACACTGATGGATGTAAACCAGAAACCTCTCTGGGGTCCTTAATAATTTTAAGACTGCAAGGGAGTCCTGAGACCAAGTATTTTGAGAACCACATTCTATAGCACTGTAGAGATGCCTGAGATAGAATTTACTCTAAGCTCACTCTAGGACCTCCTCCTGAATTTCTTATTTAGAATACATTTCTGACGTCTAGAGTACTCTTACTTATTTTCCTATCTCTCACAGTGCTTAGTTCAGTGTTCTACATCTTGTAAATATGGCTTGTAGTTAATAAAATAAGAAAGTTAAATATTAGCTCACTTAATACTTATGTGAAAT
The DNA here is from genome assembly GCF_000001405.40 of Homo sapiens. Lineage (NCBI taxonomy): Eukaryota > Metazoa > Chordata > Mammalia > Primates > Hominidae > Homo > Homo sapiens. Next base: position 726,474 of record NW_025791765.1, read on the forward strand.
TTCTCCCTATTATAAAAGCAGAGTGGGCCGGGCACTGTGGCTCACGCCTGTAATCCCAGTACTTTAGGAGGCCAAGGTGGGTGGATCACCTGAGGTCAGGAGTTTGAAACTAGCCTGGCCAACATGGTGAAACCCCGGCTCTACTAAAAATACAAAAAAAAAAAAATTAGCCAGGTGTGGTGGCACGTGCCTGTAATCCCGCTACTCGGGAGGCTGAGGCAGGAGAATTGCACAAACCCGGGCAGCAGAGGTTGCAATGAGCTGAGATTACACCATTGCACTCCAGCCTGGGTGACAGAGCCAGACTGTCTCAGAAGAAAAAAAAAAAGAAAAAGAAAAGCAGAATGAAAGGAAGTTCTGGTTACTGAGCCTTCTAGATAACTTCCAATAACATTTGTTACTTTGGCATCTTACAGATGGGAAAAGCAAAGCACGAAAAGATTCCCAGAGCCGCGCATGAGGCTGGAATACAAGACTGTCTAAACTTTAGTCTAGTGTCCCAGCCATTATTTGACAGAAAAAAATACTACTTTGAATATTACTTTCTTATGTAAGCTCGCCTTAAAGACAGAGTTATAAAAACTATTCTAATAAGGATTGGGCTAATATATGCCTTACAGATTAAAACATGGAGCTATGGGAAAGAATACAGTATTTCAAGAACTACAAGGGATCTGGTTTGAAAAGGCTCATAGCAATTCCTGATCAGCAGTGACCACATGATACAATGGTAAGGGCAAGGCTTCTGGAATCAGAGAACCAGATTTGAATTTGGCCTTGGGCAGAAACAAGGGCATGGTGGCCAAAAGGCTTGGACCAGTTTGCAGGGAGCCTTAGCTCCAAGTGTTAAGTTCCCAACACACACCCTTACATTAGGTCTTATTTAATAACGTGTGGTTAGTGGTTGCTCAGCCTGGCCTAAATAATAGAAAATAGTTTGGTTCCTAGAACAAACCAGTTTATGTATATGTTTATAAATAAAAGATTATCCATTGAGTGAAAATCATGCATATTACCATGCTAAATACAAACACAGCCAGTCATGGGTTTAGCATTCATGGATGGCTTACAATTTAATTACAAAGTATCCAGAATGAAAATGTAAATGACTGAGCTCAATATTTTGATGCTTAATAAAAATCAATGATGTATTAATATTTACCTCATCTATATATTCTCAGAATTTCTGTAATTATTATTACAAACCTTCATGGGCTTAATGTTTAATGCCCATAAATACGAACCTTTTACTCAATGTGCCTCACCTTGATCTAAATCCCACCTACTCTTCCTGATTTATTTTGCCTCTGAAATAATTACTGGACTGCTCTGACTTCTTCAGTAACTTACCCTTCAGCCAAATTTAAGAGTAGCCAATAATTTTCTTTCATATTTATATTGATCATATTATAAAATAATTTCTTTGGAATAGTATGAAGTTTGAATACTTACACTGTTTCTGAAGACTTGAAATTCTAGTGTTCTCAAATCTATCTTTGCCACCTTACTCAAGTTAAACCTAAAACAAAAAATGTACACATATTTATTCATAAGCAACATCACAGTTAAGGGAGTTATGGAGTGATTATCAGGTGTGTGCTTTATTTTCAAATTATTGTCTGTCAGGTTTTGAGATCAATATGACCAGATTTATAGCCTTAAGAAAATTAAAGGCCACAACTTGTAATTAATATTTTGTTCACTTTTCAAAACTAGAATATTTGAAAGGTTTCATCTACTTTCTCTTTACACATTTTTAGAAGGGAGTTCCATATTACTTTTTCTTGCCTTATATTGAAAGTTTTTCTGGATGCTTTGCACAGTATCAACCTAAACCTCCCTAAAACCTTCTCTCAACCTTATAGATCCAGAACTTCTCGTCAAATCTATTAATCTGTATGAGCTGCAAATAAGGCTTTTTAAGTGAATAAAATACTAATTCAATACTACATAGAAACACTGTGATGATCCCAAGCAATACTTACCTTGATACTAACTTATCTACAAACACTGAAGGGTTGGAATATAAAGCCAGAGGAATAAACTGAACATAGACAGGAACATCTGCAGGATTTTCTAAAGTAATCTCTTCTTCCTTAAACAAAATAATGAAACATTAAATGAAAGATTTCTATAGTTAAAGCTAAGAGTAAATACTTTATAATCCTAGTATGTATTTCCAAAAACCAATGTCACTTTGAATACTTACTGAGGAGCAGTTTGTATTAGTAAGTGGAAATTTCAAGTGCCGGGGTGAGCTAAGTATGGAAGGCCAGGAGAGCTCAGCAGTGATTTTTGATATTATATTTTTTTGAAGGTCTGTATTTACTTCAAATATAGCACTCAATCTAGAAAAACAATTTGTAAGTCACTGTATCAAAATGAAATATTTGAGTCTTCTGAACATAAGAAATTCAATTAGGCTTATGTACTTGAGAAATTTTTTGCTGGCCCTGAAAAAACACATTTATTCATTCTAATATTTTACTATGCTTGTAATGCTATATGATGTCTCTATATTGGTGCAAAGAGTTGCCAAAATATCTGTCACAGATCCTCTGTTTCTGTACTGAATATAGAAAGGATGATAAATCTTAGGAATAATACCAATGGCATTAATGTAATCCCGCGTAAGTTTCGAAAAACCTTTCCAAGTATAAATTCAGTAAGAAAAGCTGGCCTATAGTAGATAACCTATTTAGAAAAGGCAGGCATATAAAGATAATACATGATGTTACGCAGATCCTAAAGGATCTTATGTGCCTAGAGGAAAGATCTAGACATCTACAAGCAGGGTGCTAAAAACATTTTCAGTAGGACTAATGAGAAGGCAGTACATTGCTTGGCATATGGCTTTTTTCCCCCTTGATATAAAGACAAAACAGAGTCCTCAGATTCAATGAAGACATCAGTTGACAACAGAGGTAAAACCTACGAGGGTTTTGTGCAGACACATGTAAAGTTTTCAGCAATATTCAAGACCTCATCTGAATATCTCCCTACTTATAAGTGTGTATAAGCCAGTTGCTTAGAACTCAGAACACATTCCCAAAGACACAATATTATAAATGGAGCTAAGATTCCTGGGACTAAACGCTGAAGCATATTTTAACCCCTAACTCTATTGTTGTAGTGTTATGATACTCTAATACTGGTAAGAGTACAAGTTTATATGACTAGTAGCAGAAATCCTCTGTAACACACACATAACAAAGTAACACAAAGGCAGGATCAGGGAGAATATCACATCTACTGTGCACTCAAGATAGACAGGGAGCCAAGGTCTTAGCAATGGGGTGCTGGGGACACAGAGAGGAGGGCAGGCTTTTTGTGGGTAGGAGGTGAAGAGGCCCCTTAGCAGCTGAGCATAGGACAACACTGTAAGTTATTTGTTCATAACTGGACATTAACATTTGGGGCTTGCTTGTCCTTTATAATGTCCACTGTGGAAATACAGGGTACAAAGGAGAGTTTTAATTAGTGTTCTCTTAGCAAGTCCATTAGAGGAAGTCTCTTTTGTATTCATTTTAACCATCTTTTTAAAGTAAACATTCGACTTTCTTTTGCCTTAAGAAAACTTTTCATAGCAGAGAGTTCAGATAAACAAACCCTCCAATTATTAATGGTTTGAGAATTTACAGTACTCTTAAATGGGAATATCCTGATACTAACAAATATATTTCAAATTAGCAGCTTGAGAAGAGCAGTTTCCATCAGCTGCCATACTATCATTATTCTAGTCAAATTCTTTTCTGAAGTACATGAAAAGATCAGATTTCTATACTACCAAATCAATACATTTTTTGTTTTTGAATCTGGGTGCAGTATTGATTTGTCATTAGATGCACATTTCCTACCTGCCAAAGAAACACTGTGGGGCCTGTCTGAATGGAGCCCTGTGTGCTCCCGAATAGCTCAGCACTTAGAAAGGAAGGGGGTGGGCTGGGCACAGTGGGTCACGCCTGTAATCTCAGCACTTTGGGAGGCTGAGGTGGGTGGATCACGAGGTCAAGAGATGGAGACCATCCTGGCCAACATGGTGAAACCCTATCTCTACCAAAAATACAAAAATTAGCCAAGCATGGTGGCATGTACCTGTGGTCCCAGCTACTTGGGAGGCTGATGCAGGAGAATCACGCCACTGCACTCCAGCTTGGTGACAGAGTGAGACTCCGTCTCAAAAAAAAAAAAAAAAAAAAAAGGAAGGAGGTATTCTTTTCACAATAAGAAAACAGACACTCTGGTCTTGTACCAAGTGCCTAGGTGGGGGTAAACCTAGAAAATGTTTCCCTTGCCTTTAACAGACATCAGTGGTAGGTAAAAAACTTTCTTTCCTATGCAAATGGATGAGTCTAAGGTGAATACTGTCGTCATCCTACATAAGAACAACTTCAAATATTTTCTTGGAGTGTAAGAAATATCTAAAGCACCACAGAAAAGAGAAAAATGACAGTATGTATATTTCCAAGCAACATACAGTTAAAATGGCAATTTAAGATGCCTCACTAATAACTTTCTGAAAATTAGGCATTCTTTCTTAGCTATAAAGCAAAATAATCTAACATAAGAATATAATTTAGAAAGCATTATGTTTCAATAGTCATCTTGTAAAGATGGCTAAAATAAATAAACATAAACCACTCACCTATGACCTGAATTTTCCTTTATTCCTGTCCATCCCTTGAACAGGCTTTGATGCAAATCCCAGTCAGCATCCCACATATCTTCCTGCATGGCTACACCAGGCTGCACTTTGGGTTCAGCTAAAACAAGGAAACATACTTAACCTGCATCTATACTCACTTGTCAATTTTCCTTCAAATAATTTCTATAGTAACAAAAGACAGCAATGTACTTTAAAAGTGGCGGCCTCTTACTAAAAGAGTATTTTGGGGGAAGTGAAGACATGAGAGAGAACAGCAAGGTCACTTACATTTGGATAGAAAAGGCAAGCCAACATAGCAATGATCCCCACACTGTAGTCCAGGATCAAAATAAATGTTTGCAATCTATAAAGAGGCACAGGAGAACCATGAATCCCAAATCCACAGGAGGTCATAAAACAAAATGTTAACCAATGGGAATTCTCAAATATAATATCTTCAAACCTTTGATTTTTTTCCTGGCTCCAAGTCTTCCTTATTGCCCCGTAATCGTTTATAGTAAAATCGCACATCTTCTGACAAAGATCGTATTTGCTGTATTTTTACCTTCTGTGAGAAGGAATTCATAATATTTAAACTTTGATGAACTATTTTCCCCTGAAGGAAGAAAGCAAAGAACAAACTCATTTGTATATGGTTAAATTTTCTTAAGATCACAAGTTTCAGAGTAGACAAGCATACTTCTAGGAAACCAAAGCCCAAAAGACATCTTAGAATGTTCATCAATTGATAATCTTTAAATTGTAATCAACAGCCAAAAAACCTCACCAAAAAACTTTTTTTTCTTGCTGTGGCATGTTACAGAAAAATCAGGAGGACAAATCTTTGCAATCTTGTGACAACTGATTGACGTTAACATTCACACTTTCATGTTAAGATACTGAGGATGCCAACAAAGGTACAAACAGAGATAGCTTTAGATAAAGGGAATGGTTACTTTCAGTTTGGTAAGCAAGGTTTGTTTACACCCAGGCAAGAATGCCCTGAAATCACTGAATTCTAAAATCTAAAGCCAAAGGGGACAAAATCACAATTTTTTTTAAAAGAAAGTCTCTTCATTAGGAAAAATATATGTCATTTGTATCAAAGAGAAATTACACATCTTTTGAAATTATGGGTTGTCAAGTATCTTATTAAAACAGTACACAAGCTGGGCACAGTGGCTCATGCCTGTAATCCCAGCACTTTGGGAGGCTAAGGTGGGTGGATCACTTGAGGCCAGGAGTTCGAGACCAGCCAGGCCAACATGGTGAAACCCTGTTCCTGCTAAAAATACACACGAAAAATTAGCAGGCATGGTGGCACACACCTGTAGTCCCAGCTACTGGGGAGGCTGAGGCAGGAGAATCACTTGAACTCGGGAAGCGGAGGCTGCAGTGAGCCGAGATCGTACCACGGCACTCCAGCCTGGGTGACAGAGTGAGACTCCATCTCAAACAAACAAACAAACAAAAACCCCAGCACACAAATAAAACTGTTAAATAACCAGCAATTGCTCTTACCAGTCACAAGCTTCTGTCTGTGACAGGGTACCAAATTTTAAATTAAAAAATTAAATAATTTACGTAATCCTCCAGAAGAATATTACAATCTTTCTTTTGGCTGAATACAAAATTTTACTTTTTGTAGATTCCTACTCATTTGAAGAGGTCTCTGAAATGATTAAACCCACTTTTTAAATATTTGGAATAAAAAATACAGAAGTGAAGAGCGTGCACAGGAAAAAGGGCGCAATGACTGTGACACTGAGGCCAGCGCTCCTCATTTACAGCCCAGTGAGGCTAAAACACCCGACAGCCAGCAGAGGGCGGGCATGCAGCTGCAATGCCGACAGGAGCCCTCGGGCAGTCACCGCACTTGGCGTACTTGAAATAACTACTTCCCTCGTGCCTTGTCTCTTGGGGGTGTGGGGGATCAAAAGAGCTCACAGATATAAATGCTGCTCTCACAATTCTATTCAAATATTAAGCTATGAGTTACATGAAATGTTTATTCTGAGGTATTGTTTCCAGTAAGCTCTAGTATTCTCCATCTGATAAAGAGATTGACAGGATTTGGTAATATAGAGGTAATTTAGAATTCCAAGCAAGTATCTGGTCCTGTAAGCCTCCTAGAGATATCTGAAAGCTTAATCTGAAGCAGTTCAAAACCAACCCCTCTAAATCTCATGCTGAAATGTGATCCCCAGTGTTGGAGGTGGGGCCCTATGGAAGGTGTCTGGGCCACAGGGGTGGATCCCTCATGAATGGCTTGGTGCGTTCTGACCTCGTAGTAATGAGTTCTCATGCCATTAGTTCACACAACCACTGGTTGTTAAAAAAGAGCCTGGCACCTCCCTCTCTTCTCTCTTGCCATGTGATCTTTGCACATGCCAGCTCCTCTTTGCCTTCCAATATGAGTGGAAGCAGCCTAAGGCCCTCACCAATGCAGACACTGGGGCCATGCTTCCTGCACAGTCTCCAGAACTGTGAACCAAATACACCTCTTTTTTAAAAATAAATCACCCAGCCTCAGGGATTCCTTTATAGCAACACAAATGGATCCAGACCAACATCTTGTTTTTATACACATGCTTTCTCATTTATTCCACTCATGGGGCTTTTCACTGTGTCATCTGCTGTCTTCTGAACTGAACTTTTCCCTGCCAGAGTTTACGCAGAGATTAAGGACATCATTGATTGAGAAGGTAATGGAAGGAAGAAACATGGCTCTTTTGGATAAATAACGAAGAGTTTAGTATAGTCAGTACAAAGTGGAATGACAGGAAGATGAGGATTTAATTAAGACCCAAACTTAAATGTGATGAAACTAGTAATTCAAAGTTTGTATTTTTAAGGAGTTAAATATTGAATTCAGGTTTTACTGTAAGGGTTGAGTATCCCTTATTTAAAATGCTTGGGGCCAGAAGTGTTTTAGATTTTTTTTTTGGAATATTTACATATATATAATGAGATATCTTGGGGACAGAACCCAAGTCTAAACATGAAATTCATTTATGTTTCATATACATTTATATGCATAGCCTGAAGGTAATTTTATACAACATTTAAAATAATTTTGTGCATGAAGCAAAGTTTTGACTGGAACCTGTTACAAGAGGTCAGGTGTAGAATTTTCCACTTGTGGTCTCAAAATGTTTCAGATTTGGGAACATTTTGGATTTCAGATTTTTGGGTTAGGGATGCTCAACTTGCATACAGCATTAAGATTTTGCAATGTCTTGTTTCTCTTAACCCACTACTGTCTCCTACCACTAGGATGTGAGACACTTTTACATCTGCCCTGGTATTCCTGAATGGACTGCACCATCTTCTTGCAAAAGGCAGCATCTTCTCCTGGTTTTCTCATTTGTTTTGTCTTTGTTCTCCAGGCTCAAACTCTAAGCCATATTCCTGCCTCCTCTACCCACCCTCCTCCCCATACTTGTTTCAGTTTGTATGACCTCTTTAGGATATAAGCACAGTTCAAATGATTCACCTGCAATGTCTCTTGCCTATGTTCCCTCTCCATCATTTGTTCCTTCATCCATACATTATGTACTAAGTGCCTGCTATTGGGAAGAAACGATCTCTCATCCGTTTCCTAGAGGATCTCAGACTCTCACTGGGGAGGCCAACTTATAAGGAAATATTTATAGCACAATACGAGGCTTGCAGCAAGAGGGGTAATTTCAAAGTATTCTAGGATCACACATGAAACAACCAGTATTGTCTAGAGGAGTCAAGAAATCTTCAGAGAGGAGATGACAATGGAATTGAATCTTGAAAGACACGCAGGAGTTCTTTGAAGGAAGGACAGGAGGAAGGGCATTCGAGGCAAAGAAACAACAAAGGCTTGGAGGTATGAAGGGACTTTACTGCCTCAGCCACAGCCATGCGCTCAAACTCCCCTTGGCACTTTTCACATGGACTCTGGCCAGTCTGCGGGTTGGCCTCCAGGCACTCTATTGTTACTTTCATCTGTGTCCTCTATTTCTTTCTGCAGAGAGCCAGTCTTTAAAGCTCAGCTCTGATGATGTCAAGTCTTCACTCAAAAACTTCATATTCCCATGAACTTAAGTGCATTTAAGTTTTTTCCATGTTATCACCCCCACAGACCATTCCATTTTCTCTCTTAAAACTTTTCTCAATTCTTGCCAAACTGGACAACTCACTATTGCCTGAACCAACTTCAGACTTTACTGCCTCTGCATCCCTGTTGAGCTTGCGCCCTGGCCCTAGATTCACGTCTCTGCCACCCCTTCTCCATCTCTGTTGGAAGAAATTCTAAGCTGGCTCCCATAGCCCCTGCATCAGTGAGACGTGTATTTCCCTCACAGCACTTTATTTTCACTCCTCTTAGGGCAACTTCTACATTCCGCTTTATAGCTCTGAATTGTGGGTCCATTTCCCTTTCTAGATAGAAAACTTTTTGAGGAAAAGGACTGTATCTCTTTACATCTTCTAAAGAACCTGGTATAATGTCTTTAAAATAAATGACTAATAAAGAATAACTGACTTTACTCTAAGATTCTAGGAACACAGAGCTAAAGGCAAAGGCAAAAAACGAGCAATAGAAAAATGTGTGTATTAATGGTCTTACTGGAAAGGAAGGTGGAAGAACCACGTGCTTAGGGAAGCAGGTCAGTGAGCCTACTGCAATCACAGCCTTCACAGGGATTGTCAGGATCTGTGAAGTCAAGAAGATGATGATAGATAAGTAGTTAAGACTTAGCCTGATCTTGATAACTATTGCATTATATTTTGGGGTTAACCTAATTTTGGGACTAATATTGACAATAACCAGCTCCATACCAATATTAAAATCACCCATAGATACTGTTTAATCTGTCCAATGTACTCCATAAAATGTAATGAAATATAACACATTTCCACAGATTTCTCAGTGATTCATTGAAAACACGTAAAAAAGACTAAACAACGGGGAAGCAATGAAGACAGATTTTTTAAAAATACAAATATTTTTGTATTTCAAAATACAAATAATCTATAAAAATAGATTATTTTAAAAAAGAAAGTCAAACTGTACTCCTAAAACAATGTATGTAAAATCCAGCATATCTAGAGTTATATAGCTTTTTTTTTGATACAGAAATAGACATCAACCTAATTTTTAAAAATGCACTGAACATTCTAGAGTTAGAATCCCATCCCATACTGTTAGTAACTCTCAAAGCTACTTCTCTAGGGTATTTTTCTTAATTCTTATTTTCACCCATATTAACAAAAATTTATCTGAATTCTGAAATGTACTTATTTCTGTCATGAGTGATAACCATGAATTCCTCACCTGACATACTCTCAACAAATCATTTATTATTAAATGGCCAATTCTGTTTATTTTATAATTACATTTTTTTTCCACGTGGGAGTTGTGTCCACTGAAAACATCTATGAGGGCAAAGGTGGTAAGTTGTTGAATTTAACAGTGCTTGACTTTCCTAAGAGCTTTTAGATATACAATTAAAAACATTTAGGTCTGGCAGAAATACATCCATTCAAAATCTTACTGAATGCAAAATAAGCTCCACACAGAATATTTTAATTAAAAGCTTAGTAACCTTTAGTCCCTTGACTTTGAATGACTCATGAAAATATAAATGTGAGCACTCAGATTAGGACATGATCTCCTGATTTTATCTTCCTTTTCAGAAATGTTAGACCCTGACTGCTATTTATGATTGTAGGAACAATCAGAGGTATCTAACTCAGGACACTCAGCTGGGGTCTGTGCAATGATATAACCATCTGTTTAAGCAGGTTTCTAACAAAGCAATTCTAAACGTGCTAAAGGCATTCTTCTGAAGTTGCTTTTTAGGTTAGGAGGGTTGGGTTTTATCAAAAAACTATGAGCCTATGAACATCAATATTCTATAAACTATTCTCGAAAGCTCAGTTTTTAAGGTATGAAACTGGTAAACTGTAACTCTGAGTAAACTTAATTCTTTGGTTTCATAAAGACAAGAAAGGACTGACTTATTCAGAAAAACCCCACTGCCATGAATCCCCATAAAGTCCTTACCTCATAGTCTGTTGTGATCTGGATGGCTCCATCATGAATCCCCTCTAATTTTTTTGCAGTAAGTTTGACTCTGAAGACTGCAAAATAGCCTGAAGCTAATGTTACCTGTAGATAGTAGAAATGGTATCATTCATTAGCCTTGTTAGTTGAAGTTTCCTATTAAAATGGACATGAAGGGTGTAGCGATAAAATGACTAACAAATCCTAACATATACCAGTATGACACTGAATTACCATATCACTGTGTACAAATATCTCAAAATAGTGTCCATCCCTTGATATTTCTCTACTACACTTGTTCCATGGGCCACTGAAAAAGCTGGTTCCTGAAAGAGGGAGGGGTGTGGTCCTCTTGCTAATAAAGCTCCTCACTCTTTACCCATGGACCTGTATGGCCAAAGGGGCTGGAGCAGAGGGACACAGCCTTCCACCAACCTTTCAGGCACACTGGAGCCACAATTGTATACACAGCTGGCTCTGCTTCAAGCTGTGGATGTCACTCTGTAATGTTAATATTCATATCTTCAGGGCAGCTGAGGTCAGATATAACAAAACACCAGACCTATGGCATTCCACGGAAACGTGTTTGTCAACACTCTCTGTGTATAAGGACACTTGCTTTTCCTTTTGTAAAACTGCCCCAAGAAATTCTATTCTAACCTGCAGATGAGATTATCTGATGCTCCTTCTCACAGATTGTGATTCTAATTCTTTTCCCAGTAGGTATAAACTCCAAGTTCCCCTTTCAGTACTGGTGAGTGCTGAAACTAATAAATTTGTTTTCTCTTGTTTAGCGCTCTCTGACAACCAACTGTAACATGTTTATTAGACAGGTAAAAATATGTGGGCAGACTCACAGTGATCAAACAATGTTTGCCTCACTGATACTGAGGCAGTATCTGGACAGACGTATTATTGCATAATTGAAAATATTTTCTACCAATGTTCAGGGCCATCTCTTTTTCCCAGTAAACTCAATGAACACAAGGTTAGTTTAGTACCCATGGGAATCTCTCCTGTAATGACACTTGTGTTACAAAAAGATAATTAAAAATTTGTGTGTTATAGAACTTTTTATGACAAGGCAGAATTAAACCCCTTTGGGTTTCAGTGCCCTCATCATAAAAATAGGGGGTTGAATTACATTACCTATAAGGTCCTTTTAATAGCAAGTAACCAACACTATTATGAACTGCATAAAAATAATAGTGATACATGTAGCATAGCAATGATCTTCCACTTGCAGTTTAGACATCCATCTTACTTTAAGGAGACAATAGAAAGTTTACTTACCGATGATTGATCTGATAAAGAGGATTTTTCAAACTCTGGCAGGCTTGAAATTATTGTAGTTCTATTGCCTCTTTCCACAGCTACAAGTTCTATTGATAAACCGTCTCCTATGATATGCCAACTTTTTATAGCCAACTTTAAAAAAAGATATGAAAATGATTATCACAACACAAGCATAAAATCCTTAAATGTGATTTAGAATAAAAACAGGTTTTTACCTCAATTGGATTGCTGTTTATAATTGCAAATAAAATATTACTTGCTTCTGTAGCACTCAGTACTCCAAAATCTATGAAACGTTCCTCTATTTTGGGGGGCAATACAAAGTACTGGAAAGATATAAAAGAACCAGATTAAAAAAAAGTCACATTGATCTAACAATATTATGAAGAGAAAGTAACTATATTAAAGATGTATTAAAGTTCCCCCCAAAATTAGCTGGGCATGGTGGTGTGCACCTATAATCCCAGCTACTCGGAAGGCTGAGCTCAGGCAGGAGAATCGCTTGAACCCGCAAGCCAAGATTGCACCACTGCACTCCAGCTTGGGAAACACAGCGAGACTCCATCTAAAAAAAAAAAAAATTACAGTTCTATGCTTTCCTATGCTTTTGTATATATGCATAAAACCACACATTTATACGACATAGTTGAGGGCTTTGTATGACGAAAGTCTTTTGAGTAATCAGAAATGAAAACAGCCATGGCTTCTGCTGAGTTGCTATTCTTCCTCTGAGGGCACATGAAAGAGGCAGGAAGCTAAACTACTAAGAGAGGTTTAGTGGAACCCTAGGGGATCGGGCAAAAAGCATGTGGTCTCAGCAAGCATCACCAATGATCACTGAAACAAAATAACTGAAGCAGGAGCGAGACATTACTGAAGGTCCCTCCAGCTCTAAAATTCTAATCGATGCCAACTATTTAAAGGGCTACATTTCTAGATGTCCTAGCTTTCTTTTTATCTTTCCTAACAGTTTTCTCTCTTATCTAAGCTTCTTTCATTGATCACTCTCAAGATAGCTTTGTTTGGAATTTTTCCCCCTGCTTATTTTCTGTACCAGGAGTACCTTCATTGTTTCCTTCTGTGTCATATATAATCTTCCAACTTTGCGTCTTTACTACCTTATTTTCTTCTTTACTATCTGATTCTCTTCTTTGTCCCGATATTTCTTGGTTTTGATCATCTCTTCCCTACGTATATCCCTCTTCACCTTCCTTGTATTATTCTTTTTCTACCTATCATTTTTCTATTTAGTTCTTTTCTATATTCCCCATTATTACAATAGTTTAAAAGCATATCCAAGAGAAAGCAGAATGTGGAAAAGATCTAAGTAGAGACTGTAACTAGAGAAGTCAACTGTATCACAAGAGAGAGCTGCCAGAAAAGGTAAAAACTAGTTACCTGGAAAGGTAAAAACTGACTAGGAGAATTAGATCAATTTGCAGAGCACAAATAATGGCAAACCGTATGTAACACGACTGCCTAATAAGATCTGAAAACATTAAAGGTGGGCAGGGAGTTTAAATGTTAAAGATGGATAATATACTTACATCTAAAAAGCCTGTGTATACCCGCACGGGTAAATGAAATTTAGAAGCATTGGTAATAAGTAAAATGTTGTTATCAATGTGCATGGATGATGTGGAAGGCATAAAAAGCAGGGTAAAAATGTATCCTGATTCATTAGGAAGAATTAAGACTGGTTTGCTGAAGTTGTGAACCTGAGAAATGACAGAAGAGAAAAAAAACAAAGTGTCAGCATCACCTAGTTGGTAGACCAGGAAAATTAAAAGTATGAGGGCTCCTGGACATACTTTAAACATTGTTTTGGCTTCTTCTGGTAGCAACACATCGTGAATGAGGATCGCAAAACTGAAAGTGTTAGTAAGGTAAATTGGCCTTTCCACAGGATCAGCAGGGCTGTCTCGGATGTGAAATAATGTTGCAGCATGATCAAATCCCAAATAACTATTAAAAAAAACAACAAGAACAAAATAAATCATTTTTATTTCCATGTGTTAATTTAAAATCCAAGTTCTTCTGTTGTAAGTAATAATTTACATTTAGCATTAGGGATTGTATTAAAGATTTAGAACTATAATATTTTAGTGATTGACTATATGATTTAAAACAAAATTTAGCTTGCAAAATACTGAAATTAATACAAACAACCATTCTCTAATGAATTATATGAATCATACAATTAGAATCAAAGACATATCAACAAAAAAAGCTTTACTTTGAAAAAAATCATGCTTATCACTGAATTACAAGGAGCTTTGCTAAAATGAATCTTTGCCAAGTTGAGTATTAAACTACTATTGGTTAAAGTACAATAGAAAATGAACATGTCACTTCCCATTTATAAAAAGTTGTAATTCTAGAAGTGTTTATGAATTTATAAAGGAATATAAAGAATTCTGTTTCGAGTGTCAAAATACTTTAATAATAGGCCACAATCACTTACATATTACAAACAAATGTCAGAAAGGAAATGGTTCAAATGATTTAAATAATATTTAAAAAATCAGATTTTTGAATCATTAAGTCTTCATTTAAGCCCAAATCCTATCATCCCACTTACCCTTTTCTTCTAAAAAAGTAAAATATAAACAAAATATAGGAGGTTTTCTCTTTTATAGTTGGGGCTGTTCTTTCAAAAAATAATTCCATCAAGTTTATGTGAACGTGGCTAGTATTTCTGCAGGTCATTTAGCAGGAAAATATAATTTACTGATTAGTAAAAAGTAATAGAATTTATTTTAAAAAGAAACTCACCCATCTAAAACTTCTGCTTGATATGGTATTTCAAGTTTAGAATAACTCTTTTCCTTTGCTTTAACTGTTATTTTCCCAGAAAACTGAGATGGCTTTTTTGCCTTCGATGCTGAAAGGAAGCATAAAAAATAATCTCTGTTACCTTTTACTACCAAAGAGAATTAGTGAATTTATGTAAATTGACAAAATCTTAAAAAAAAAAAAAGTTGAGCTTCCAAATTGGCCAACAGAACACTTTTTATAACATTTTAAATGAAACATCACATTTTTCATACAAAAGGGGGAAAATGTTTTATATTTCCTGTAATAAGATAAGCAGATAAGGAATTAGCTGGTGAGCATGGTTCAGGAGGTAAAACACTGTACCTAAGCTGCTTTGCTGTAGCCACAGGCTTTGGCTTTACTTACAGCAGAATTTCTCATCCTTGGCACTGTTAACATTTTAGGCCAGATTAATTCTTCGTTGCGGAGGCTGTTGTGTGTACTGTAGGATGTTTAGCAGCATCCCGGACCTCTACTTGCTAGACGGCAGTAGCATCCCTGCAGCTGTGACTACCAAAATGCCTCTCTGCATTGCCAGATATCCCCTTGGAGGCAAAATTACCCCCCACTTAGCCCTGCTGATTTACACTTGAACTGAGAAAGAAATAACATTTCTTGTATGGCCAAAGTCTTGCTCTATCACCAATAAAGTAGCATGGTATAAGAAAAGTCAAGAATTCAGAGCTCTTCTCAAAAACCAGCCAACCCTAAAACTCATGGTATAAGAGGAGATAAATCCCCTCCTGTCATCATATTATATTGTCCTCATCTTAGATGAAGTAAAAACTTCAGATTTCATAGCAGTTTTGAATAATCCTGGCTGGGTGCAGTGCCTCACATCGGTAATCCCAGCACTTTGCCAGGCTGAGGCAGCCAGATCACCTGAGGTCAGGAGTTCGAGACAAACCTGGCCAACATGGTGAAACCCTGTCTCTACTAAAAACACAAAAACTAGCCAGGTGTGGTGGCACGTGCCTGTAATCTCAGCTAGTTGGCAGGCTGAGGCAGGAGAATCGCTTGAGCCTGGGAGGTGGAGGCTGCAGTGAGCCGAGATTGCGCCATTGCACTCCAGCCTGGGCAACAAAGCGAGACTCTGACCCAAAAAAACAAAAATTAAAAAATAAATAAATAAATAAGGAATTACAGAAATTGATTCAGTTGGGTCCAATCTAGGTACCCATTAGATGGTTCTTTTCAAAGCAAATAAAGAAGCTGTTTATGTTTATCCTCTTAGAGTACTTTAGGAACACTTCCATTTATGTGAAGAATTCATATGTGAGTTCCGCAAATGTGTGTCATCCAACCTCATGACAAAAAAGAACAAGGAAATGGTATGACATCTAGTGTTTGACTATGGCAGACACAGACTTTCCATTTTAAAAATTCCCATTCAGCCTCTTATTTCTCTGCTTGCTAGTTAGCCATCTCTGGATGCTTTCAATTTTTCACTATTTGTTCTGACGTAAGACTGATTACAAGGGCCACATTTAAGCATTTCATGACATTGTATCATACATAGCAAATAAAGTGGTCAAAAAGCTCAAGAAAATTCTGTTGAAAATCATGAAGAATAACTTTTGATGAGAAAGATGCTTGATAAATGAACACTGCAGAGTTAATACATATATAAGGTGCATTCTAACAATATTAAAAGTTAAATAACACACACTTCCTGACTGATTTTCACAGCAATCTCAGAGGTATTTTGTGTGGGGATCCAGCATGGCAGTGGGAGAGGTGAATGGTGGGGGGATTTTCACATGATATTAAAAACCTACTTTTAAGAAATGTAGCATTTGCTCTTAAAGATGCTTTCCCTTTGCTGTTGTTATTTAATTTTACATATTTCTTTAAGAAACAATTATCTTAGAGCCTACGATCTCAGAAGAACCAACACTAATGACATCGCATTTATCTCAAGAAGGGAAAGATTAAGTGGGTGGTCAATACAGGAGCTAGAGAAGAGTAGCTCTTCACCCTTGCAGAGCAGCTCTTCACCCTTGCAGACCATGTGGAGAATTTTCCGGCACATCTGTGAAGGGTGGGTCCTAAATGCTCTTATCCTGGCTGGGTGCAGTGCCTCACGTCGGTAATCCCAGCACTTTGCCAGGCTGAGGCAGCCAGATCACCTGAGGTCAGGAGTTTGAGACCAGCCTGGCCAACATGGTGAAACCCTGTCTCTACTAAAAATACAAAAATTAGCCGCCTCCTCCTCTGTAAGGGAAGACAATGTACCTCGTGATACTGACACTGGTAGGCATGAATGTGGTCTCTCAGCAGCATAGAGAACACTTTACCACAAATGTAGAAATTACTGTGGCATTAATGTCTTCTATAATACTATTTCTTGACAACTGTATCATGAAGTATGCTGCCTATGTGATTTTTATTCCTTGAGAGTCCTCACTGAGCTCACAGGATGAACCCTGAGGCCAGCCCCACCTCCGTAGCTGCTCCAGACCCTCCCTAGAACTCTCCACAGTGAGCAGCAGGCATAGATACTCTCATAAACACTGTGTGAAGTGTGCCAGTGTCCTCCTACATTCATTGATCAAATATTCTCATCCGATGAGGAGCTGAGCTTTACTATGTGGACTCTGAGCACAGATGGCTTTATCATAAAGCCAAAGTTTAAGCTTAATAGCAGCTACTCAGTTGCATGGGTGCCTATGAAAAAAGCCCTGTTCAGAGGTTCAATTCTCATTTAATTATCTGTATGGTTAAGCAGCCATTAAGTCATTATTTTAAAAATGTTGTGACAGCAAATTCAATGAATGTTCCAATTAAAGTAGGCAAAACTAAATAAAAACATGCTATAAAAATGGTATAGTCTGGCTTAACACCTCAAGTATCAAAATGTATACTATACACATTAGAAATAATAGCTAACTGGACAATTCTGTCATAAAGTCTATTATTTTAGCTTAAGTAGGGGATCTGCTTTGCCTATAAAAGCCAATATATGAAAATGTTACAAAGAATACTTTTTATTTTTGCTCTCAAATTCAAACATGTTTCAGAACTTCAAATATATTGTAACTTCATAATTAAGATGAATTATAATACATAATATGTGTAAAAAGGCTAGCCCAGATTATGGAAATGATTCCAATCCTAATGTATTTGCTAGTGCTTTTCTATTGCTAATACTGATTTAGCTTTATAAAGTTGTGGTATTTTCTCTCATGAATCAATCAAGTAAGAGTTCATGATGGTTTACAGCGGGGGGGGGCGGGGGGGGATCAACCTAAGCAGTAATATAAATTCTGATGGTAAAACAGTTTGGATTTTTATATTAAGACGTTAATACAGATGCTTTCTAGTTTATCAAAATAACATCACTCTATCAGAGAGAAAATGGTGAATACTTGCCATCAAAACTAATGCTTGCAACCTTGGTGTATTTACTTTCTGATGCTTTTAATGTAATTGGTTTAAAGTGTACCGTTATAGCATCATTTTGTGGTGTAGGTCGAACACTCTGCAAAGAGAACAAAAATACATACATGGCATTATTTCAGACTAATGGTTCAGTTGCCTTATACTTATACTGGAAAGTATACTGGAAAAGTAAAGTGGACTCTAAATTTGAAAAGTTTAACTTATGTTGTCCCTTTAAATGGAGTAGGCCACACTGGAAAACTTCAAATTAATTTCATCAGAATATCTTTATAAAAGAAAATGACCAGAGAATAAGCATGACAGATTTGTAAGTGTAAGAATCTATTACATTTGGTGTGAGTACATAAAGCATTTAAAAAAGGTACTTATTTTCCAAATGAATGCCTAATTCACACACCAGTGGAGGCGACATGAAAAAGACTTATGGATCCCTCTTAAAGAAATTCACAATACTGAGGAAATATCTGAACCATATGACGGTGAAGAATAAACATGAACTTGGAAGCTGGTGTGTCAGTGCCAAGGTAGTTCTGCACACTTCATTTCTAATGGCATTTTCTCTTTCTCTCTAGACATGGCTCTGCGAGTGAGGCATGCTGCTATCCAGAGAGAGGGCTATACTGCTGGCTATGGGATTGAGCACTGAGGCAGCCCACAGGGATGTTCAGCTTGAAGCCAGAATGCTTAAATAACAACAAACAGGAAAACCTTGTACTTGGAGAGCATGCTTTTTAAAAATACATTTTAAGGTACAGTTATTTTTTATTTCCTCACTGACACAAAGCCCTTTCAATTGGAAGGGACGTAAAAGATTCCAACCTCCTTCTCTGTTTTACTAATGAAATTTCCAATATTGATGTTTTAATAGCTAGGCATCAACAGGTAGGAATGAAACAAGAATCCCTGGGTTGGTGCAGGGCCTTCATCTGACATCCTGTTGCACAAACATGTATCACAAAATCGTGGTACTGTATACAACTCTTGATTAAAAAATAATCTTCCTTTATGATTACTTTGAATCTGAACCTTGGTCTGAACCCTCGTGGGTTGTATTTGTTGAATTATGAAGGGCTTTAAAAACTTGTCAAAGCCTGCTATTTCCCGGAGAAAAGAACATTGTCCTTTTCTGTGAGACTTATCAGGCAAGCCCCTTAACAGGAGCACAGTCAGATCCAGCAAGTCACTATGTTCTTCCCCCTGGATCCCTGCCTGCTCTTTTCCGCCCGTTTATAAAGGTGAAATCTGCCTCAACAGAACATCAAAGGGCAGTCTCTTGAAGGTGCGATAAGCACCTGAGAAGAGCATGGAGAGAGAGAATGATCCTCGTGCCTTGTGTGTGGGATCACAGGGTACGGATCTGATTATATGATAATGATCAAAGACACTGCTAGAGCAGCTCCCTTTCCATTGGTGGGTTAGTCCTGGGCTGTCAGCAAGTGTTCGTTCACAGGGTCTGAAATGAAGGCCCTAAGGATGGTTCTGTGGACCTCAGGCTCTCTTGGCATTTTAACTCTTTTTAACTTCCTCCGTTTTTCTTCTTCAAGAACTCCTTCTCAATTGCTTTTGGATCTCTAGCTGGGGCTGGGAATGATTTGTTCATGTAATATTTTTACTTATCAATAAGTTTGCTGTTATTAGCGACATTTAAAATACAAATTTCTTCATTCACTGAAAGGTGAGTGTGTGTATTTTTAATAATAAAACAAAGTAGAGTTTGAACTGTAAGACAAACTGGGAAAAGTTCCATTTGGTTATACTATACTATATTACCATGCTAATACTTTTTCCAAAGAGAGGAAATCAGTACAGAAGTATATGTGACAATCCAGTGGCATCACTTTATGCAATAAAAGGATGTTTAACTAGAGATGTGAGCTTGAGTCAGCTGCCCATCTACTCTGGGGCTCATTTTTCCCACCTGTAAAAAAAATCCTGGCTGGGCATGGTGACTCATGCCTGTAGTCCTAGCACGTTGGGAGGCCAAGGCACGTGGATCATGAGGTCAGGAGTTCAAGACCAGCCTGGACAAGATGGTGAAAGCTCGTCTCTACTAAAAATACAAAAATTAGCCAGGCGTGGTGGTGGGTGTCTATAATCCCAGCTACTCGGGAAGCTGAGGCAGATAACTACTTGAATCCGGGAGGCGGAGGTTGTAGTGAGCCAAGATTGGGACACTGCACTCCAGCCTGGGCAACAGAGTGAGACTCCTTCTAAAAAAAAAAAAAAGCAGCCCAGCCAGGGGAATGGGTTGTTTTCTGAGATCCCATCATCTACAACATTTTGTGAGTCAGTTAATTTTGCTTTTTTTCCCCCCACAAATGAGCCACTTTATCTTGAGGCCAAGCTTTGTTACAGGTGATCACATGAAGCTCTGTAGTTTGCAGAGGACTTCCACAGATATGGCTCCTGAAGTTCCTCATTTGCTCTACTGAATATGATCCAGCAACAATTCAGAGGTGAAGTCAGCTGGACTTCCTGGGTTGAGTGGGGACTTGGAGAACTTTTTTGTCTAGCTAGAGGATTGTAAACACACCAA
The DNA here is from genome assembly GCF_000001405.40 of Homo sapiens. NCBI lineage: Eukaryota > Metazoa > Chordata > Mammalia > Primates > Hominidae > Homo > Homo sapiens. Next base: position 747,210 of record NW_025791765.1, read on the forward strand.
TCAGTGCTCTGTGTCTAGCTAAAGGATTGTAAATGCACCAATCAGCACTCTGTCTCTAAAGGACTGTAAATGCACCAATCAGCACTCTGTAAAAACGCACCAATCAGTGCTCTGTGTCTAGCTAAAGGACTGTAAATGCATCAATCGGCATTCTGTAAAAACGCACCAATCAACACTGTAAAATGGACCAATCAGCAGGACGCGGGCAGGGCCAAATAAGGGAATAAAAGCTGGCCACCCGAGCCAGTAGAGGCAACCCGTTTGGGTCCCTTTCTAGGCTGTGGAAGCTTTGTTCTTTCACTCTTCACAATAAATCTTGCTGCTGCTCACTTTTTGGGTCTGCACTACCTTTATGAGCTGTAACACTCACCACGAAGGTCTGCGGCTTCACTCCTGAAGTCAGCAAGACCACGAACTCACTGGAAGGAAGAAATTCCGGACACATTTTGGCGACCCACATGGGATACATTTTGGTGACCAGGAAGGGACTATCGCCAAGCAGTGAGCACCACTGGACCCCTTTCACTTGCTATTCTGTCCTATTTTTCCTTAGAATTCGGGGGCTAAATACCGGACACCTGTCAGCCAGTTAAAAGCGACTGGCACAGCCACCGGACTAAAGACACAGGTGTCAGGCTTTCTGGGAAAGGGCTAACAACCCCCAACTCTTCAGAGTTGGGAGCATTGGTTTGCCTGGAACCATCTTCCACTTTTCCTGTACTTCTGGGCTGAGCTGAGGGTCAACAGAGAGGAAAGCCATTCAGCTCCGGGATCCCGACAAAAAGTTGGTTGACTGTGGCCATGAGCGGAATTCTCAAAGTTATGTTGCCCAAGCGAGACTTGCCTATCTATCCTATCTATCCTGACCCTTGCCCCCTGGGTCCTAATGCCTGTCAGACAAACTTCCTCTTGCCTCTCTTCTCCAAGGATAGTTCCGCTTCTAAAAACCACTCTCTGTCTCTGATGCCTTTCTAGTTTCTCCTATAAGAATGATTTCCAGTATAAACTCCAGGACTCTATTCCCTCCTTTAGGCACCTGGACTCACCAATCAAAGACATAATTTTTGCCCAAAGCCCCTTCGAGGGCAGGGGGACTACCTGGAATTTTAGGATCCCTCCTCAGACTAGCAGGCCTAACAAAAGCTATTCCTGAAGCTAGGATACGGGGAGCCTCAGAAACGATATCCTTCCTTTTCACATGATGAGAAGTGAGGATAAAAGGCGTCACTCTTCCAACCCTGGAGATCCCTTCCCTTGCTCAGGGTACGGCCCTCCACTTCATTTTTGGGGCATAACATCTTTATAGGATGGGGTAAAGTCCCAACACTAACAGGAGAATGCTTAGAACTCTAACAGGTTTTCGAGAATGCGTCGGTAAGGGCCACTAAATCTGATTTTTCTTGGTCCTCTTTGTGGTATAGGAGGACAGGCAAGGGTGCAGGTTTTCGAGAATGTGTTGGTAAGGGCCACTAAATCCAACCTTCCTTGGTCCTCCTTGTGGTCTAGGAGGAAAACTAGTGTTTCTGCTGCTGCGTTGGTGAGTGCAACTATTCCGATCAGCAGGGTCCAGGGACTGTTGTGGGTGCCTGGGCTGGGGGGAAACAAACAAACCAAAACCACAGGCAGTTTTGTCTTTCAGATGGGAAACACTCAGGCATCAACAGGCTCACCCTTGAAATGCATCCTAAGCCATTGGGACCAATTTGACCCATAAACCCTGAAAAAGATGTGGCTCATTTTTTTCTGCACTACGGCCTGGTCCCAATATTCTCTCTCTGATGGGGAAAATGGCCACCTGAGGGAAGTATAAATTATAATACTATCCTGCAGCTTGACCTTTTCTGTAAGAGGGAAGGCAAGTAGAGTGAAATACCTTATCTCTAAGCTTTCTTTTCATTGACGGAGAATCCACAACTATGCAAAGCTTGCAATTTACATCCCACAGGAGGACCTCTCAGCTTACCCCCATATCCTAGCCTCCCTATAGTTCACCTTCCTATTAATGATAAGCCTCCTCTAATTTCCCCCACCCAGAAGGAAACAAGCAAAGAAATCTCCAAGGTACCACAAAACTCCCCGGGCTATCGGTTATGTCCCCTTCAAGCTGTAGGGGGAGAGGAATTTGGCCCAACCTGGGTACCTGTCCCCTTCTCCCTCTCTGATTTAAAGCAGATCAAGGCAGACCTGGGGAAGCTTTCAAATGATCCTGATAGGTATACAGATGTCCTACATGGTCTAGGGCAAACCTTTGATCTCACTTGGAGAGATGTCATGCTATTGTTAGATCAAACCCTGGCCTTTAATGAAAAAAATGCGGCTTTAGCTGCAGCCCAAGAATTTGGAGATACCTGGTGTCTTAGCCAAGTAAATGATAGAATGACAGCTGAAGAAAGGGACAAATTCCCTACCGGTCAGCAAGCCATCCCCAGTATGGATGCCCACTGGGATCTAGACTCAAGATCATGGGGACTGGAGTTGTAAACATCTGCTGACCTGTGTTCTGGAAGGACTAAGAAGAATTAGGAAAAAGCCCATGAGTTATTCAATGATGTCCACCATAACTCAGGGAAAGGAAGAAAATCCTTCTGCCTTCCTCGAGCAGCTACGGGAGGTCTTAAGGAAATATACTCTCCTGTCACCCAACTCCCTTGGGGGTCAACTGATCCTAAAAGATGAGTTTATTACCCAATCAGCCACAGATAACAGGAGGAAGGTCCAAAAGCAAGCCCTGGGCCCTGAACAAAATCTGGAGGCATTATTAATCCTGGCAACCTCGGTGTTCTATAATAGGGACCAAGAGGAACAGGCCCAAAAGGAAAAGCGAGATCAGAGAAAGGCCACAGCCTTAGTCAAGGCCCTCAAACAAACCTTGGTGGTTCAGAGAGGAAAGAAAATTGAGCAGGCCAATCACCTGGTAGGGCTTGTTATCAGTGTGGTTTACAAGGACACTTTAAAAAAGATTGTCCAATGAAAAATAAGCCACCCCCTCACCCATGTCCACTATGCTGAGGCAATCACTGGAAGGCACACTGCCCCAGAGGGCAAAGGTTCTCTAGGCCAGAAGCCCCCAACCAGATAATCCAACAGCAGGACTGAGGGTGCCCGGGGCAAGTGCCAGCTCATGTCATCACCCTCACTGAGCTCTGGGTACGTTTAACCATTGAAGGCCAGGAAATTGACTTCCACCTGGACACTGGTGCAGCCTTCTCAGTGTTAATCTCCTGTCCTGGACGACGGTCCTCAAGGTCCATTACCATCCGAGGAATCCTGGGACAGCCTGTAACCAGGTATTTCTCCCACCTCCTGAGTTGTAATTGGGAGACTTTGCTCTTTTCACATGCCTTTCTCGTTATGCCTGAAAGTCCCACACCCTTATTAGGGAGAGATATATTAGCCAAAGCTGGAGCTATTACCTACATGAATATGGGGAACAAGTTACCCATTTGTTGTCCCCTACTTGAGGAGGGAATCAACCCTGAAGTCTCTGCATTGGAAGGACAATTTGGAAGGGCAAAAAATGCCCACCCAGTTCAAATCAGGCTAAAAGACTCCACTACTTTTCCTTATCAAAGGCAATATCCCTTAAGGCCTGAAGCTCATAAAGGATTACAGGATATTGTTAAACATTTAAAAGCTCAAAGCTTAGTAAGGAAATGCAGCAGTCCCTGCAACACCCCAATTCTAGGAGTACAAAAACCGAATGGTCAGTGGAGATCTTAGACTAGTGCAAGATCTTAGACTCATCAGTGAGGCAGTAATTCCTCTATATCCAGTTGTACCCAACCCCTATACCCTGCTCTCTCAAATACCAGAGAAAGCAGAATGGTTCACTGTTCTGGACCTCAAGAATGTCTTCTTCTGTATTCCCCTGCACTCTGACTCCCAGTTTCTCTTTGTCTTTGAGGATCCCACAGACCACATGTCCCAACTTATGTGGACGGTCTTATGCCAAGGGTTTAGGGATAGCCCTCATCTGTTTGGTCAGGCACTGGCCCATGATCTAGGCCACTTCTCAAGTCCAGGCACTCTGGTCCTTCAGTATGTGGATGACTTACTTTTGGCTATCAGTTCGGAAGCCTCATGCCAGCAGGCTACTCTAGATCTCTTGAACTTTCTAGCTAATCAAGGGTACAAGGCATCTAGGTCGAAGGCCCAGCTTTGCCTACAGCAGGTCAAATATCTAGGCCTAATCTTAGCTAGAGGGACCAGTGCCCTCAGCAAGGAATGAATACAGCCTATACTGGCTTATCCTCACCCTAAGACAAAACAGTTACGGGGGTTCCTTGGCATCACCAGCTTTTGTTGACTATGGATCCCCGGATACAGCAAGATGGCCAGACCACTCTATGCTCTAATCAAGGAGACCCAGAGGGCAGATACTCATCTAGTAGAATAGGAACCAGAGGCAGAAACAGCCTTCAAAACCTTAAAGCAGGCCCTACTACAAGCTCCAGCTTTAAGCCTTCTCACAGGACAACACTTCTCTTTATACGTCAGAGAGAGAGCAGGGATAGCTCTTGGAGTCCTTACTCAGACTCGTGGGACAACCCCACAACCAGCGGCATACCTAAGTAAGAAAACTGATGTAGTAGCAAAAGGCTGGCCTCACTGTTTATGAGTGGTTGTGGCAGTGGCCATCTTAGTGTCAGAGGCTATCAAAATAATACAAGGAAAGGATCTCACTGTCTGGACTACTCATGATGTAAATGGCATAGTAGGTGCCAAAGGAAGTTTATAGCTATCAGACAACCGCCTACTTAGATAGCAGATGCTACTCCTTGAGCAACCGGTGCTTCAAATATGTACATGTGTGGCCCTCAGCCCTGCCATTTTTCTCCCAGAGGATGGGGAACCAATCGAGCATGACTGCTGACAAATTATAGTCCAGATTTATGCCACCTGAGATGATCTCTTAGAAGTCCCCTTAGCTAATCCTGAACTTAACCTATATACTGATGAAAGTTCATTTGTGGAAAATGGGATATGAAGGGCAGGTTATGCCATAGTTAATGATGCAACCGTACTTGAAAGTAAGCCTCTTCTCCTAGGGAGCAGCACCCAGTTAGCAGAACTAGTGGCACTTACCTGAGCCTTAAAACTGAGAAAGGGAAAAAGAATAAATGTGTGTATACAGATAGCAAGTATGCTTATCTATTCCTACATGCCCATGCTGCAATATGGAAAGAAAGGGAGTTCCTAACCTCTAGGGGAACCCCCATTAAATACCACAAGGAAATTATGGAGTTATTGCACGCAGTACAAAAATCCAAAGAGGTGGCAGTCTCACACCGCCGAAGCCATCAAAAGGGGAAGGAGAAGGGAGAACAGCAGCATAAGCAGCTGGCAGAGGCAGGGAAAGACCAGCAGAAAGGAAAGAGAGAAAGAGACAGAAAGTCAGAGAGAGAGAGGAAGAGACAGAGACAAAGAGGAAGTCAGAGAGAAAGAGAAACAGTGAGAGAGGGGAAGAGACAAAGAGGAAGTCAGAAAGAGAAAAAAAGAGAGACAAAAAAGAAGTCAAAGAGAAAGAAAAAGAAATGGAAGTAGTAAAGAAAAAAGTGTACCCTAGTCCTTTAAAAGCCAGGGTAAATTTAAAACCTATAATTGATAATTGAAGGTCTTCTCTGTAACCCTATAACACTCCAATACCACCTTGCTGTCAGAGTAAACAAGGACATAGCCTGAAAGCACTGAGGTCACTGACAACCAGTAGCCTTCCTATCAAAAATCCTTAACCCAGCAGGTTTCCTAACAGGGGATCTAAATCTTAACTAATTACTATACAAAGGTCCGACCAGACCTAGGAGGAACTCCCTTCAGGACAGGACGATAGATGGTTCCTCCCAAGCAATTAAGGGAAAAAGACACAATGGGTATTCAGTAAGTGATAAGCAAAAAAAAAAAAAAAAAAAAAAATTTTAAAATCCCAAACTTACAAGGTTTTCAACAAAAGTTTGCTAAAAGTTAACAGTGTTGGGGAGGAGTGGCAGCGGCAAGGCAGCCCAGTTTCGTGAAGGCTCTTGGCGCGCCGCGGCCCGCAGGCACCTGGCACGCGCCTTCCCCGCCGCCAGGATGCCCAAGAGGAAGGTCAGCTCCGCTGAAGCCGCTGCCAAGGAAGAGCCCAAGAGGAGATCGGCGCGGTTGTCAGCTAAACCTCCTGCAAAAGTGGAAGCAAAGCCGAAAAAGGCAGCAGCGAAGGATAAATCTTCAGACAAAAACGTGCAAACAAAAGGGAAAAGGGGAGCAAAGGGAAAACAGGCCGAAGTGGCTAACCAAGAAACTAAAGAAGATTTACCTGCAGAAAATGGGGAAACGAAAACTGAGGAGAGTCCAGCCTCTGATGAAGCAGGAGAGAAAGAAGCCAAGTCTGATTAATAACCATATACCATGTCTTATCAGTGGTCCCTGTCTCCCTTCTTGTACAATCCAGAGGAATATTTTTATCAACTATTTTGTAAATGCAAGTTTTTTAGTAGCTCTAGAAACATTTTTAAGAAGGAGGGAATCCCACCTCATCCCATTTTTTAAGTGTAAATGCTTTTTTTTAAGAGGTGAAATCATTTGCTGGTTGTTTATTTTTTGGTACAACCAGAAAATAGTGTGGGATATTGAATTATGGGAGGCTCTGATTGTCTCGGGTGTCAGCTTAACATTCCATAGATGGGGGGTTAGTTTTTATATCCTATAATACAAAGCATATTAAATGGCAATATGGAGTCAGTCCTGCATTTAATGTCTTGAACATTTTAAATTACTTCTATTACCATGTTGTTTTTTAGTAGAATTGTTTCCTAAAGAAAACCACTCTTTGATCATGGCTCTCTCTGCCAGAATTGTGTGCACTCTGTAACATCTTTGGTTGTGGTAGTCCTGTTTTCCTAATAACTTTGTTACTGTGCTGTGAAAGATTACAAATTTGAATATGTAGTGTACGTGCTATTGAGTTGTGAACTGGTGGGCTGTATGTAACAGCTGACCAACATGTGAAGATACTGGTACTTGATAGCCTCTTAAGGAAAATTTGCTTCCAAATTTTAAGCTGGAAAGTCACTGGAATAACTTTAAAAAATAATTACAATACATGGCTTTTTAGAATTTCGTTATGTATGTTAAGATTTGTGTACAAATTGAAATGTCTGTACGATCCTCAACCAATGAAATCTCAATTATGAAAAAAAAAAAGTGTAACATATATTATCCTAACTTCTAATCTTATGGAAATCAGACATAGGGTCTGTGCCCCTCAAAGCTCAAGTGTCTCAGCACAGGGCCATACAACTAACACCCCTACTTATAGGGTTAGAGATGGCCACTGCTACAGGAACCAGAATAGCAGGTTTATCTACATCATTATCCTACTACCACAAACTCTCAAAGGATTTCTCAGACAGTTTGCAAGAAATAATGAAATCTATCCTTACTCTACAATCCCAAATAGACTCTTTGGCAGCAGTGACTCTCCAAAACTGCTGAGGCCTAGACCTCCTCACTGCTGAGAAAGGAGGACTTTGCACCTTCTTAGGAGAAGAGTGTTTTTTTACACTAACCAGTCAGGGATACTACAGCGTTTACAGGAAAAGGCTTCTGAAATCAGACAACGCCTTTCAAACTCTTTCAATGCCTTTCCAACTCTTATACCAACCTCTGGAGTTGGGGAACATGGCATCTTCCCTTTCTAGGTCCTGTGACAGCCATCTTGCTATTACTCGCCTTTGGGCCCTGTATTTTTAATCTCCTTGTCAAATTTGTTTCCTCTACGATCGAGGCCATCAAGCTACAGATGGTCTTACAAATGGAACCCCAAATAAGCTCAACTAACAACTTCTACCAAGGACCCCTGGATCGACCCACTGGCCCTTTGACTGGCCTAGACAGTTCCCCTCTGGAGGACACTACCACTGCAGGGTCCCTTCTTTGCCCTTATCCAGTAGGAAGTAGCTAGAATGATCATTGCCCAATTCCCAACAGCAGTTGGGGTGTCCTATTTAGAGGGGGGATTGAGAGGGGAAGCCAGCTGGATTTCCTGGGTTGAGTGGAGACTTGGAGAACTTTTCTGTCTAGCTAGAGGACTGTAAACACACCAATCAGTGCTCTGTGCCTAGCTAAAGGATTGTAAATGCAACAATCAGCACTCTGTAAAAATGCACCCATCAGCGCTCTGTATCTAGCTAAAGGATTGTAAATGCACCAATCAGCACTCGGTAAAAACGCACCAATCAGCGCTCTGTGTCTAGCTAAAGGATTGTAAATGCACTAATCAGCACTCTGTAAAAATGCACCAGTCAGCACTGTGTCTAGCTAAAGGATTGTAAATGCAACAATCAGCACTCTGTAAAATGGACCAATCAGCGCTCTGTAAAATGGACGAATCAGCAGAACATGGCGGGGAGCCAAATAACGGAATAAAAGCTAGCCACCCAAGCCAGCAGAGGCAACTAGGGTCCCCTTCCACGCTGTGGAAGCTTTGTTCTTTCGCTCTTAATAAATCTTGCTGCTGTTCACTCTTTGGGTCCGCACCACCTTTAAGAGCTGTAACACTCACAACGAAGGTCTATGGCTTCATTCTTCAAGTCAGAGAGACCAAGAACCCACCAGAAGGAACCAACTCTGGACACACAATGAAGGCTTGACCATTTTTCAATATGCTTAAAGGCTAGAAGTGGGAGTTCATCAACAACAAGCACAATATTTTTTGAGTGTTATCAGCCTGTACAACACCAAGCCAGAAATAGCAAAGCAAGGATGTTTGTTAAAATATAGTCACTATTAGTAAGAATTTAAAATAGTTGATGAAATTTTTTTCATGTGAAACACACCACTTTAAGATTTTCCTTACCAGATAAAAACTTTACATTAGTATTGCTACCTTAAAATACGCTGCAGTAATAACAAAGAAATATTCAACTGAAAACTCATGTTTTATACAAATGGTCTGAATTCTTCACTCATTATCAGTTAAAAAAAAAAAAAAAAAAAAAAAACCAAACCCAAATTGTTAAAACCCATTTTCCAGGGAAACAAAAAGCCAACAAACAAACCCAAGACAAAACACTTAAGTAGCTGGCCCATTCTGGTGGCTTTAAATGACAACTCATACACAATCAACACCTTGTAGTAAGCATATTTATACAACAACCTGTTAGTGACTATTGCTAACTCAAAGATAATCAAGAAGTATAAAACTATTGCAAGTTTCCCAGGAAAGGCAGTTCGCAAGCTTGCATATGTTCTAAATATAGTTCTAGGCTTTTCTCACAACATTCAGACCCAACTAATGCTCAGTAACCCTCAAGTGAAATTCAACGGTCCGGAACATTCTAAAACTGCTTATAAAAGCACTTGAGCAAATAAGGAAAAAAGCACTTTCAGCATTTAACATTGTATTTCTAATAATTTGTGTATGAGTTCACTAAAGCATATGTTAAGCTGATATTATGATTCCGATTTGTTAATTACCAAGGGAAACCTCATGCAAACATTCCTCTGAAGGCATCTCAGGCAAACTTACTCCATCATTTATACAGCACTAATGTTTTGTAAATGCTGAGGAAAGCCATTTTCTCAAAGTTGCATTATAGACATATTAGGAGAGTTTGGACCTGCGCATCCTGTCTGTTAGCAGTTGAGGAACTTCTATTTGGAATTGCTTGCTTTAGTAATCCTATATTTAGAAAGAGAATGAATTCCCTGAAGGGGAATTTAAAAAAAAGATCTCCAGCTTCTAGCACTGCTTAGCAAATCCTGAAAATTCTATGTTTGTGAAACAAAAGGAGACAGGAACCTTTCTAAATATCTATAGTCTCTAAGCCTGGTGAATTATGCAGAAAATGCTGAAACACACAGGGAAAACCTTAAGAAGAGCTCTGAAAACTCAGTTTCCACGGTAGGTGGGCTTGCCCCATAGCTGATAAGGTGGGAAATCTAAGCCACCATCATTTCTCAGGCTGATTGCTAAATCAGATCCCAAGTGGTCTCCTTTGCTTTCTGCCCTTCCATGTCTGTAAGTTCACTCTCCACAAAGTAGCTACAGTGACCTTTTACAACACATAAATCAGATGATGTCACTCTCGTTTAAAATCCTGTAATAATTTCCCATTACACTTAGAATAAAATCTAAATATCTCCCAGAGTTCCAGAGAGCCCTGATAAACAGTGAGCTTGATGGGGTAGGGAACCCCAGTGGTCTGATTCACTGCTGTATTCTCAGTCAGCATAGCAGCTAGCATACAGTTGATGTTCATTAAATATTTATTGAATGGGTGAATGAAGGCGGGAATAAGAGAAAACTACCAAAACACTGGCAGAGTTTGGGCTTTGGATATTATAAAAGATACACACATAGGTAGGTACAGATGTAGGTACAGATGTATTATATTAACAGATATATAGGTTTTTAACAGAAATAGACTATGCAATTAAAATGATATATTCATAAAGATGTGATTGCTAAGTGACACTGTATAATATACTTTCATGTTTCACATACCTCTTTTTTTTTTTTTTTTTTTTTTTTTGAGACAGTCTCGGTCTGTTGCCCAGGCTGGAGCACAGCGGCGTGATCTTGGCTCACTGCAGCCTCCACCTCTGAGGTTCAGGCAATTCTCCTGCTTCAGCTTGAGTAGCTGGTACTACAGGCACATGCCACCATGCCCAGCTAATTTTTGTATTTTTGGTAGAGACAGGGTTTCGCCATGTTGGCCAGTCTGGTCTTGAATTCCTGACTTCAAGTGATCCACCAGCCTCAGCCTCCCAAAGTGCTGGGATTACAGGCGTGAGGCCACCATGCCTGGCCTATTTTTGCATTTTTTATAGTTGTGTAAGTCACTTCCAAAAAAAAAAAAAAAAAAAAAAGCAGCTCTAACTCAGCTTTCCTATCTAGAAAACTAGGACCACTGCACCATATAGGTATTAAGTAATACATTTATTACATAGCAGTACTAGCATAGTGCCTGACCCAGTAAGAGCAAAAATGTTCACTTACAATATATCCTAAAACTCCTTAGTGAATAAGAAAAAGGACAAACATGGGCCTATTTAATTCCATGTCATAAGTGACCTGAGTACTAGTTCTTCATTCACATTCTTAGGGTTAATTGCCAATTTCATTTTCCTATAATATGTTTATTGAAAAAGATACTTGTTTCAGTCCATTTATTGTACGTAAAAAGTTAGGCTGGTTTGCTTGGGCTAAGTAAAGGCACTTTCCCATCTAGGAGAAATGCTAGGTCAGATATGAAGACAATGCCTGCATCCCGGTCCCACTAGTGAGGAAGGTCACTGCGCATCAGAATGTGGTTACCTGGGAAGACCATCTCTTGCTTCCTCGCTGGGGTTTGTATATTCTTCTCTCTTTGGTCTACTCCACCAGCTGGTGATAAAATCTGGGTATGGCCATCGATGGACAAAGGTCCCTTAAATCTCAAGCCCACATGATCTATATTTCATTTTGTCAGTTCACTGAAGTTAAGTTTCTGGCATCAGCACAAATTATAATAAAAATGTCCTATTTTCCTATATAATGATTACACATGTATATATCTTGGGGACCTCATCAGGGAGAGACGTTGTGGGCCAAGGCAAAACTTAGATATCCCTTTTTTTCCTAAAACTATCTAACGGCACCTCAATTCCATATGGCCTAAAAGTTACTTACTCTGTATGTATGTGTGAGGGAGAGAGGGCCTTAGTTTATAATGTGCTGCCTACGGTAACTCAATAACTGCTAGTTAGGGAGCCTGTGACAAGTGTTAACAGCACTTTACCACTACCTACAACATTTTTTTTGCTTATTTTCTTCCCAATTCATCTGACTCTTCTTCCTCTTTCCTGCCCATACCTTAACTCCAACAACCAAATCTGATGAAATCCTTATAACCTGTTTTTCTATACACATGGCCCACAGATTTTAGGATTTATCAGAACAGGCCTTTTATATGACTGTGCCTGTATAAGAAACTCATGAACTTTGGTTCAAACTTACTTTGAAAAGATTGCCCATTTCTCTCTCATCCTTAAAATCCGGGTGGCTGGGGCAGAACAGGTTTCTCACATCACACTTAGAACCAAAGTGTCACCAGGTCATCACCAAATATAATTATTTTAGAATAAGGGTTTAATTATTTTTAACTTTGTCATACATTTAAAAACAAAGAATATATAAATTAGGGGAAAAAAGAAGTAAAAACTTACTGTTATTGGTACATCTTTTGTTCCTGAATTTAATAAATGAAGGTTTAAAACTTTTGGTAGATCTGTTAAAATTGAGGAAAAGAAATATTTCTTAAAAAGGTGCTTTTTAGCCAAGTTAGAATCTTTACCTTATAAGATATCAAATTGAAGCTATCAATTTGTGAAATACAATGACAATAAGATTAATAAAAAGAAACATTAGGTGGTAATTGCTTTACTCATAAGGACATTGTGTATTATAAGAACTGTTCCCTCTTAAACCAGATTTTTGAAAACCCCAAAATATATACTTTTTTTTTTTTTTTTTAAATGAGACAGAATCTTGCTCTGTCACCCAGGCTGGAGTACAGTGGGGCATTCTTGGCTCACTGCAACCTCAGCCTCCTGGGTTCAAGTGATCCTCCTACCTCAGCCTCCTGACTAGCTGGGATTACAGGCATGTACCACCATGCCCAGCAGACTTTTGTATTATTTTTTTAGTAGAGATGGGGTCTCGTCATGTTGGCCAGGCTAGTCTTGAACTCCTGGCCTCAAGTGCCCTGCCTGCCTCCACCTCCCAAAATGCTGGGATTATAGGCATGAGCCATCATGCCCAGCCCCCCAAATATTATTTTTTTGTGAAGTCAGACATTACTAATCTTTTAGCTTTCCAGCAAAACATAATGAAGCAAATTAATAATTTACAATGTAAAAATATACTAACAGCAAATCTAATTTTTAAACATATGGTCTTCAATCTTAACTACATATTATTATATATAGTCCATATACATCCCAAATTACAAGTGCTCTTAGTTTTTCCTTAGCAAAAATCTTTACTTAGTTGTTTTTAATTTCAGAATTTGAGTTTTCTGAACAGCTGCAACAAACTTTCAACATTTTGTCAAAATGTAATTTAATAACTCATATCTAAACAAAATCCAGAAGTAAAAATCAAGATTCAGCGTAACTGAACTGATGAGCAACTGGATTAAGAAACTAGAAAACTATTTTCTGCCTCAATCTTCCATTTAGATGACTTAAATTATCCCATGGCCTTGTTTTCCAACCTGTTAAGCAATGCCACCCACCCCTCAGCGGAATGGGGTATAAACCTGTAAAGGCGCTGAGTCTGAAAAGGAGATTTGTACAAGATCATGCAACCAACTGAGAAATAATGTTTAAAGCTGAATTACATAGTAGAGCCATTCAGCACTGAATACAGGGGTTAAAAAAAAAAAAAACTCCATAAAGACTCTTTTAAAAGATTTTTTTACCTTGTGTTCTTAGTGTACCAAAATCTAACATTTCAGTTGAGGAATAAATTCCAGGAGCTTGGAAAAAAGAAAAGTCAACAATTATTTTTCACTTTGCCAGAGTAAGCTATACTGAAAACAAAACAACTTTCGATTTCATCAGTTTTCCACTAACCTGTTGTAACTTCAACCTCAACAGGAAGAATGATAAACTCTGTGCTGTCTGAAGCATTAGTCTTTATTCTTATGAAGGCTGTGTGATTATCTGCTTCTCTAGATGAAAAACTGGCTCTCATCACTCCCTTGGTTTCATAAGGAGGAATTTCCTGACAAGTTAACAGACCATAATGTAGCACAGCTTTTGTAATGTAGCAAAACCACCATTTTTTATTGAACTGGATGACACTGACTGAAAGATGAGTATTCTATATACCTATTAATAAAAAAAATGCATTGCTAATTAAACCAATATGTAACACACACTCCATTTCTGGAGAACTTTAAAATGTGAAAAATGTGCTGTTTAGAATTGATGAAATACGATATGTAAGGTAGGCAAAGCAAAAGAAGTCAAATGATCTGAAAACAAATTGTCAGTTACAAAATCACCATTAAAAGGTAAAACTAATCTACAAAATCAGTTATTTTTTAATATGCTAGTTAGTGGTGTTTGGGTATATAACTCAGTCTTGAAATTTAACCAACAGAAATGTCACCATCAGAGGTAAATACTTTTCTAGAAGTCCACAAGAACCTTCATAAATGATAACCAGCAGGGCTTACACTGCTCTTTCATGGAAAACTTAACAATGCAAAGCTTCTCAAGTAAATCCACAGTTTACCAACTGCATTCATGTAAGACAGCATACATTTTCAGTCCCGTAATGAGAGAACATTTATATACTAAAAGGAAGACTTACTGGAAAAAAAATTTTGAGGAGTAATCTCTTTCCTGGTTTCAGAACAATATGGCTCCCTGGGACTGCCTGAATTTCTTCTCTGCACAAACCTTTCAGCATATTTTAGGAGATTCTTGTGTTCTACAGCTTAGTGGCCTTCACTTATCCCTACTCTCTTTTTTAGTCCCAAAGTAGAAAACAGGTGATTGGGACCCTCCTAAGATTGGAGGGATGGACCATCCACTCCCCAGCTCTAGGGAGTTGACTTGGTCTCTGGGGTTTTCACCTATACACCGAAATAGGCTGGAGGTGAGGTCACAGCCCATTGGCTTTTTTCTCAGTCTAGGTTTGTAGGAATAAGAACTACCATATCTTTTTTTGCAGCCACTAGGACTATAAAAACATGCTATTCTCTGTTATCATTATCACTCTTGACTATTTAAAAATCTGAATTCTCTTAGGTTTATTTATTAGATACCAATTATGTTTCACAGGAAGTTCTTAGTTCTGTCTAGAATAATATATACAGATATAATAGTCTGAATTTAATCCTCTGAAGGATTGTTTTATAGATGATTTTTCCCTCAAACACCACAATTTCAAGGTGAAACATTTTTGTGAAAGGATATAAATGAACTGTCCATTGCATATTTCTTTTTGCTGGTTGTGTTTCTATATTCTGGGAATTAACCAAATAACTGGCTGATAAATTTGTTTCTAGATGTTCATATTAACATTCTAAAAACATAATCTCCACATCTCTTCTGTGGTCAAGACTGGTCAGAAGACAGAATCAAGAGGCTGTGTGTGTGTAACAGCAGTTAATAAAGAAACTCTGATCCTCAAACCTTACTCCTGGTTGTAAAATTTGTGTTCCTCCATTACAGATGAGCAGTGATCTGAGTGAGCTGGATATGGAACTGAATTGACCACAATTGCCTTCTCCCTCTTGAATTAAAGCATGGTAAACATTTTTAAAACTCACAAATGGCAAGAATCTTTATAAATAAGGTTCTCTTACATATTCTTTAATTTGGTTAATATTGTTAAATATTCAACAATATTGAAGGTGAACACAGATCACCTTCAAGAATTAAAATTTTTCTAAGTTATCGCAGGCACTTGACTAGGTTCTCTCTGCAAATGCCATCTCCTTTACCAATGGTGAATCTGAACATTCAATTACTTACCTTCAAAAACAAAACAAAAACATAATGAATGCTTCCTACATTTTTTTAATCATTTACATTTTTTTATGTGTAAAGCACATCATAAATTATCAGACTCAGAGACAACTTTACCCATATAATTCGGAGGAAGAATAGCTGAAGTTACTTTCTTTCCATGTAGTGGGGTAGAACTCCCACCAATTTTACTCACTGCCCTTTCCAAAAATTACTACTTATATTCTTTCCTCCTCCAATTTTCATATATACTTGACATAAATTAACATTAAGACAACGATTAAAGAGAAGTCATCCATATTTGTTAAGCCTATTAAGGAGTTAAATATTTTCTAATTTAAGAATAATCGGTTTCATGGGAGCACACACAAGAGAAAACTAGGTTACAACTCACCCACAGTTTTCTGGTACCTCCTTGTTGACCCGTTGGGAGTTCTAGGTGAAGGTCTCCTCCACTAGAGTACATTTCTACAACCTGGGGCAAAAGAGCACATGATGGCTACGTTCAAAGTCATATTCTCAAAGCAGGTGACTTGCTATTACACAGAAATAATTCTGACATCCTAACTGTTTATCACAAAACATTTAAAGATATAAACGTAGGATATGTATAATATCACTAAATTCAGTGCTCTGTATGTGTAAGCAATAGTTGTATTTTTAATTAAAATAAGGTAACTTTGAAAATTTAACTTAGAAACAGTGTAAGTACCATAGTTGTTCCAGAGACCAGATTTTAGAAAGTAACAGGATACTTATTTTTCTTTTTTCCAAAGGGAATCACTTACAAAAATTACCAAGTTTTGGAAACATAAATTTTGTATTTCTTACAGTAACACAAAGTGCTTCTTTATCCATACATTTATAACAAGAGCCAGCAGTGGATCAAATAACTACCATAATTGTGAGATGGGGAAGAGTAAAAATATTTGAGATATATACAAAATAACTCTAATGGAACATGAAAATATGTGGTTTCTACTGGTAGCAAAAATATTTCTGTGGCTTATGCCTAAGCTTACTTTTTTTAAACAGCTTTATTGAGTTATTTATGTAAAATAAATAATACATATTTAAAGTATACAACCTGATGAATCCTGACCTATGTGTTTGGGCATAAAACCATCACTGTAATTAAGATATTAAATATATCCATTATCCCCAAAAGCTTCCTCATGCCTTGTGCAATCCATCCATCCTTCTCTGTCCCTTCCTATTTCTAGGCAACCACTGATCTGCTCTCTATCACCTCAGACTAGCTCATATTTTCTAGAGTTTTATCTAAATGGAATAATACAACATATACTCTTGTGTCTGGCTTCTTTTGCTCAATGCAATTATTTTGAGGTCTACCACTTTGTTTATGCATTAATAGTTCACTTCTATTTGATGACTATACCGCAGTTTTTCAATCCACACATTAATGGGACATTTGAGTTGTTTCCAATGTCTGGCCATTAAAGAGAAAGCTGCTGTGGATACTGAGTACAAGTCTTGGTGTGGTCATCTGCTTTCCTTTCTTTTGGGTAAATATATATACACAAAATGGGTCACAAGGCAGGAGACCTTCCTTTAAAGGTAAGCTAACCCTAATTCTTAAAAAGAAAAAATATATTTAATTCAATTAAATTTGGGGTGAAGTATGAGAATGGGTGGAAACGTTCACTTGTTTCATCACAAGAAGTCCTCCAGGAGTGAATAAAAAAGGATAAAGCAAGAAAAATGGCAATTCTTAAGCTTAAACTTTTTTTTTTTTTTTTTTTTTTTTTTTTTTTTTTTTGAGACGGAGTCTCGCCCTGTCGCTCAGGCTGGAGTGCAATGGTGTGATCTCGGCTCACTGCAACCTCTGCCTCCTGGGTTCAAGTGATTCTCCTGCCTCAGCCTCCTGAGTAGCTGGGATTACAGGCACATGCCTCCACGCCCAGCTAATTTTTGTATTTTTCGCAGAGATGGGGTTTCACCATGTTGGTCAGGCTGGTCTTGAACTCCTGACCTCGTCATCCACCCATCTCGGCCTCCCAAAGTGCTGGGATTACAGGCATGAGCCACTGCGCCTGGACCCTTAAAGGTTTTTTTTGTTTGTTTGTTTTTTTGGCAGGGGCCGGGGAGTTGCTGCTGTAAAAGTAATGCATTTACCAAAGACTGATAAGCTATAGATTTTCTTTGTATATTATTACTTGCCTGCTGATTTGTTACAGTGCTCATCTATAGTGCTTATTGTGTTAATAATAATAGCACCTTAAATGATAGGATGACTATAGAACTTTTTCTGGAAAACCAGAAAACATCACACATTATTTCATCAATCCTTCCAAGTATCAAGCAAACAAGCATAACAATGCTTGAAAACAGAAGATTAGACCAGACTCAGTGGCTCATGCCTGTAATCCCGGCACTTTGGGAGGCCAAGGTAGCGGGGATCACTTGAGCCCAGGAGTTGTAGGCCAGCCTAGGCAACATAGTGAGAGTCTGTCTCTACAAAAAAATAAAAAACATTAGCCAGGTGTGGTGGCGTGCACCTGTAGTCCCAACTACTCAGGAGACTGAGGTAAAAGGATTGGTTGAGCCTGGGAGGTCAAGACTGCAGTAAGCCAAGATGGCACCACTGCACTCCAGCCTGGTGTCTGGAAAACCAACCAACCAACCAACCAACCAACCAACCAACCAACCAACCAACCAAAAAAACCCCCAGAAGATTAAAAAGTCGCCTACTGATAACAGAGAAAATGAATAAAGAAATAGAGACAGAAAAAGTCTAAATTACAAAGTCAAACAAATAATTACACTAAAACTAGGAACCTGACACATTCTTTATTTTTAGTCCAGTGCTATTTGTTCTAATTTAGTATAGTTTAGGAAAAAAAGGAAGCCAAACATTATGTACAGAATATATTATGTGTAAACAAATTCCCACAATAAATGTTTCTGTGCCCACATACACGCATGCACAAGAGAAAGGTCTAGAATGATACATACAAGGTGGCAAAAGTGGTGTCCACGAGGAAGGGCTTGGACTGCAACTATGCTGTCTATGCAATAGCTATCAGCTACATGTGGTTATTTACATTTAAATTAGTTGAAATAACATTTTGGCCACCCTAGCTGAATTAAAGAGCTCAACAGTCACACGTAGCTAGCGGCTACTGTTTTGGACAAAGCAGGAAAGGAACTATTCCATCATCACAGAAAGTTCTGCTGGACAGCTGGACTGGGAAGTAGGAAGTTCAAAGGGACGTTTTTGCTTCATTCATGTTTGAATTGTTAACATTTTTTTCCTGAGGAGAACATACTCATGTGTTTATGTTGTATAATCAACAAACGATATACATTTTCTCGCTTTACAATCTTTTCTTACTGTAATATTGACAAGACTAGTGACACACAGTAACACTGGACTACAAGGGTAAGAGTGTCTTCCCAGGTAAACAATCTATATTTGGTTCTAAGAGAGTAACTTTGGTGTTCCATTTGCTCTCTTGTGTAAATCTTGAATTAAAATGTTTTAACTGGAAAAAGACTAGATGAATTGAATTCGAAGTGATCACTGTGCTGGGCTTGGTAACTCCAAAGGCTGAAGAGAAAAGGTACAGACTGTAAGGCAACTCTGGCAATTGTAGACTGACCAACATCTGCTGAGTCCTGCAAGCTCCATCCTTGTGGTCTGGCCACCACAATGAGGCAGCACCCTTGGGGCACCCTGTTAACAGCCCTTCTACGGCACAGTGGGGCAACTCATGCAGTCGGGTCTAACGGAGTAAGAGGCCAGGCACAGTGGCACATGCCTGTCATCTCGGCACTTTGGGAAGCTAAGGCAGGAGGATTGCTTGAGGCCAGGAGTTCAAGGCTGCAGTGAACCATGACCGTGCCACTGCACTCCAGTTTGAGTGACAGAGTGAGACCCTGTCTTTTGTAAAAACAGGAAAGAAAGCAGCAAGAATTTCTGAAGTTTCTACATAGATTTGTAATAACAGCCAGAACAGGGAAACTACACCATTACCTAAAGTATCAAAAGGACGTAAACAACAGAAGGATGGTGAGGATAAGAGGGAATACTTCCCACCTGAAAAGCAGGACATAAGAACAGGTTCTTCTGTGATGCAGACATCCAGCTACAAAAATTAAAACTGGGGCTATCTTCACCCAGTTGTTGCCAAGTGTTGGGGAGAGATTTCTTTCGTGCTGCTTTCACTTATCATTTCTAAGCATTTCACTATTCAGGCTCTGAACATTTCCCTGGTTCATCCTCATTTCCTCTTCCATTGTTTATGAACAGTTATACCAGGGTGGTCTGGGACAACAGCCATTTTAGTTGCCAAAGCCCTATACTTACCACAAAATATAGTATTTTTCCTCCACCTGTCATTTTCAAGCTGCTTTTAAGTCCTGCAGTGTTGGTCCGAAAGAACTCTGGCACCCTGGACTATTCTAGAAAGCATTCACATCTACTTTTAACACAGACAACACAACTAGAAGCCACAGAGGCTGCACATGTCACACAGCTAAGTCCCTAGGATGTAAGGTAGAGATTTCAGAAAATCTCTGAAGGAATGACACTAGCCACTTCCACTGTGAAAGAGACAAGGAGCTAGTGAGGAGGAATCTCACACTTGAAAACAATTACTGCTAGAAGATTAGGTAAGATAAGTTGAATTTTTTAAATAAAAAAACAAGCTTGCTTTTAAGCATAATTCTATATTACCCTTTCCCTGAATTTTAATTTCTAGGTTGCCATCACCAAAAATTTATTATTTCCAGAAATAAACTTGAACTGTTTTAAAAAACATGGATATTGGGCCAGAAAGTGTTTACAGGCAAGAAAAAAAGCAGCCTTGTGTAGCTAAAAACTCTTCTTTAAATGCAGAGCTGCCTAAACTATAACACCAGAGAAGACACAGTCGTTTTAAAAATGATTCAAAAAATTCAAAATCCAGACTGCTGTATTCCAAAATTCAGACTGCTGTATTCCAAAATTCAGACTGCAGCAAGCTGTACTAAAAGTAATACCCCTCTCAATACACTATAAAACCCTATTATTTTAAATAGTCTTGGAAACTGTAACAAACTGAGATTTCATGCTAAGCATTAATTCCCACCAAAATGAAGCTTATTCAAAATTACCATCATAAACTCACCTGTAAAGGCTCACTGTGAGGATTGTGGATGTTTATTATAGGTGAGAAACTGCTATTCACAGGGACTCTGGCCCCAAGGAACGGCCTCAATCGATATGGATTTGGAACTCCAACACCAAATACCTGTTTCAGTGGAGGAAAAAAATGCAATTTTAGTTGCTTTTATAATTAATATTTTTAGTTATAACTGACTGATCTAGGGAGACTGGCAAATCTAATTTATGTATAAAAAATTAACAATCCCTTTATTTAAAAAAAACCCCCACAAATGTTGTTTCTGTACATGATTTGGCTACATATTTGATTGACTATGTATGTGAATTTAGAATGATTTCTTTAATATATTAGAAATTGAATAACAGTCCTTCAAGAAGCCATGCAATAGACAAAAGAAGAAAATAGGGAGTCAAAAGATTTCCTGACCCCAACCATCAGAAGATGGATCTACGGCCCAGACAACCTCTCAAATACCAAGCCCAGCCCCAGGTCATTCCCACATGGGATGGCCCTAGGTTGACTAAGCAGGGTAAACCAGTAATTCAAATGATATTATTAATATATTGCTATTTATTAAGTGTCTATGAGGTGCTAGGCACATATACAATAGTGAACAATTCAACAGTAAAAAAACAGATAATGTGCTGGGTCTCATGAAACTTACATCGTAGTATTGGAGACAGACTGGATACCAATAAAAAGATTTAAAAAAAAAATCCCTCTGCCAGAGAGTGAGTAACAGACAGTGTTGGGGGAGAGTGGAGGGCATTCAGACAGCTAATGTGTAATCCAGTGAGAGTGGCCTGGAAGACAGCAGTGGTAGTGAGGAGGAGGGAAGTAAACAGACTGGAGATATATTTGGTGAAAGACTAGATGTGAAGAGGTAAAGAAAGAAGACAGCTGGCCATTGGGGTCACCTTGAGAACAACCTGATCATGACCCTCAATAGTCCAGATTGGCTGCCATCACCTAGGTCTGTTGTGGGATGCCATCGTGGGGCAATGACCTTCATTTTTATGATAGTCTTTTCATTTACTCAACACGTACATGCTAAATGGGTAAGATCTGTCTAGCACTTCAAAATTACTGAACCAACCATCAACAGCGTACTGAATGCCTACTAAGCAACCGCTAAAGATTTACTCACCATACATAAGCAGAAGACACAGTCCTTACTGAAAGGGAACACTGACTCTGACTGACCCTTATTTTATATGATATGTCAGAGTTAATGGGTACTGGGGAGGAAATGTTTAAAAAAAAAAAAAAAAGCACAGGAACTGTAAAGTAATGTGTCAGAGCTAACACTCAAGTTCCACTGGCAGCACAGCACAGTGGTAAAGATTATGGTCTTTATACTTACAAAGACATGAGTTTGAGTCCCCCTCAACAACTTACTAATAGCATGACTTGGGCAAATGATTTAACCTTTTAAAACTTCAAGAATAACTGTACCTATAACATAGGTAGAAGGGCATGTATAGTACACTGCTGGACAAATATGAGCAATTATTGTTAAGAATCTTTGTTTTTCTTCATTTAGAGATGTGGTCTTGATCTGTCACCCAAGGTGGAGTACAGTGGTGTAATCATAGTTCACTGTGGCCTTGAACTCTTGGGCTCAAGCGATCCTCCCACTTCAGCCTCCCGAGTAGCTGAGACTACAAGTGCTCACCACTGTGCCCAGTTAATTTATAAAAATGTTTTTTGTAGAGATGAGGTCTTGCTTTGTTGCCCAGGCTGGTCTCGAACTCCTGGCTTCAAGTGATCCTCCCACCTTGGCCTCCCAAAGTGCTGGGATTACAGGTGTGAGCTACCATACCCAGCCTTAGTCCTGACATATAAAAATCTTGATTCACAAACAGAATAATGGCTGATATACAAAAAGATTTACTATATGACTCCTATATACATTAACTTTCTTTAATGACCTAAACCAAAATTCTATGTAAAAATAAGTTTATCAAAAAATACCTACTAAAGGAAAGTAGACATGAATGTTTTAATCTTGACACTATTATCAAGTATGCTTCATAAGTGTGTAAAAGTAAAAATTAAACAAAATTTTATAAGTCAGCATGAAAATATTTTTTCACTATTCTTTTGTCAATCTTAAATTAACACTTTAGCTGTTGCTTTAAAATCACCTGTTCAGTCTGATTTGAATAGAGATATTGAATAGAGATATTCACTGTAAGTATAAAAATGCTCTAAGTCTAAACTCCTACATTTTCTATTATCCTTTGAGTTCCTGAGTTCTTAAAAGGCTGTCATATGATAAGGCAGAGGTAATGATTATATTGTATAAAATAAGTTTTAATTCTGGTTCTTACCTGGTAAGTAAATACCCCATGATTAGATGTATTAATAAATAAAGTATTTTCTACATTTCCTACTACTCTTGCAAGAAAAACTACATCAAATGATGTATTTCCTCCTGGAAGAATTTTCTGAAACAGAAAATAAAGTTAAATTTGTAACAAGAAAAAAAATTATACAGCTCAAGTTCCTTAAACAAGTTTCTTAGAATCACTTCCATAAACTAGTTTTTCCTTTAAAAGTTTAAGCTTTAAGTTAGCAGTGGAAAATAATTAAAAAGATGTCTTCCATATTGAATGTCTACAGTCACATATCTTTGTCAATTACCAGCCACAGCCTTGTACAACAGATGGTTTCCTGGATTCTGTTCATTTAACAATCACTAGGCTGGCATGAAGTACCTAATTACAGGCTGTTCCACGATGAGACAATCAGATAGGAGTTGCGTTGAGGCTGAGTTTTCATATAGATATACTGCTGTACTACTAAGCAGTGACTTGTTTTAGTCCAAAGAATAAGCCCAGGCCTCAACCTTATGAAATCTGCCTTCCATCCACACAAGGAACAAAATGTCCCAGCAACTTAAATAGGAAAGAAGGCAGGGGTGAATGTATGTGCAGGAACTCACTCCTGTTACTTTCTGCAGATTAAGAATGTCACTATAGTTAGTAAAATAAAATGTTATTACCACAAAACAATAGGGCTACTCCCATGTTCAAGAGACTGAAATTGCGGTTCTGCCCTGAAACAAAGCCTTAAAGTGCATTTTAATATGTAAAGCCATCAACCTCTCTCATTCTGCCTCTATGGCTAGAACTCTAAAATGCTACCTAAATGATAGCTCAAAATACATGGTAGTAAGACTCTGGCTTCACCTTAGTCTGAAGAAAGCGAGAGTATGTCTCCTACATTACCACCAACAAAAGAGTAACTTACAAGTTGTGAATTATTGTAATTATTCTTTTGTTGCATTATATTACGGTAATGTAGTGCAACAAAAGAATAATTACAATAATTCACAACTTTTCTTGAACCCATCACAGAGTGAGATTATCAACTAGCCTGAAATCGTAGAAAAGACAAGCACCTCCAAGGACAGATAGAATGGGAATACTGGCTCACCCATGGCAGAGAAGGGAAGAAGATGAGGCTATCATACAGGAGTGTCAGCTAGAAATGCAGCTAACATGTTTACACATTGCTAGAGGTTGACTGTGTGAACTTGCACGGGAGCACAAAAGCCCTGGAAGCTGTAGACACTGGTGCTATTCACACCTGAGCCAGAAATTAGCAACAGAAAGATACCCGGCAAACCCTCAAAAAGTCTGAAATTCAACAACATACTTCTAAAATAAGCCACGGGTGAAATGAGTAGTAACAAGAGAAATTATAAAATATTTTGAATTGATTGGAAATGAAAGCACAATATTAAAATCTGTAGGCTGCAGGTAAAGCAATACTTGGAAGAAAATTTATAGCATTACATGCTTATTTTGAACAGAAATGTTTCACATCAATAATCTACATTTCTGTTTTGAGACACTAGAAAAAGAATAAATTAAACCCAGAGTAAGCAAAAGGAAGGAAAATAAAGAGTAAAAATTAATGAAATAGAAAACAGAAAGTAGCAAAAAAAAAAAAAAATCAATAAAACCGAAGCTGGTGCCTCAAAAAGTCCATAAAATGGATAAAACTCTACAGAGAGTGACTGTGATAAAAAGGGAGAAGTCAAAAATATAAGGAACTAAAATGTGGACATCATTGCATACACTTTACACACAAAAAGAATGATAAAGGAGTATTACAAGCAACTCCATGCCCACAAATTTAACAGCTAGGAGAAATGGACACATTCTTTGACAGTCGGCTAGATCTGACACAATCTGCCAAAGCTCACTCAAACTGAAATAGTCGTGCACACAGTTAAAATTTAATTTGTGGTTTAAAATCTTCCCACAAAGAAAAGCCCGAGCTTAAATGATTTCACTCGTGGAAAAGAATTCTCTACCAACCATTTAAGAAAGAAATAATACCTACGTTACATAAACTTTCCGACATACAGGAGAGAACATTCCTAATTCAGCATTACCCTGAATCAGGACCACATAAAGACTTGAAAAGTATAAGCCAATATCCTTCGTAAACATAGAAACACAACTTTCCACAAAGTACGGCAAACTGAATCGAGGCAAGATATAAAACGGGCAACACATCATGAGCAAGTAGTTTTTAACCTAGAAATGCAATTCTAGTTCAACATTCAAAAATCAAATCAATGTAATTTACTTAACAGACTAAAGAAAAAGCACAAGATCATCTCAACAGCAGCATATAATTTGACAAAATTGAATATCAAGTCATGATTTAAAATCTCAGTAAACTAAGTCAATAGAAGAGAACTCCCTCAATATTATAAAGAACACCTACAAAAACCCTAAAGAAGCTTGTCCATCCTGCAGCCCATGGGCTGCATGCAGCCCAGGATAGCTTGAATTGGGCCCAACACAAATTTGTAAACTTTCTTAAAACATTAAGTTTTTTGGTGCCTTTTTATTTTAAAGCTATCATTAGTGTATTTTATGTGTGGCCCAAGACAATTCTTCTTCTTCCAATGTGCCCCAGGGAAGCAAAGATTGGACACTCCTGCCCTAGGAGCTACCACAGCATTTAATGGTGAATGATTGAATGCTTTTCCTCCAAAATTTAAAACAAGGCAAGGATGCCCTCTCTTATGACAGCTATCTAACACTGTATTGGACGTGCAAAGAGGGCCGGCGCGGTGGCTCACGCCTGTAATCCCAGCAATTTGGGAGGCCGAGGTGGGCGGATCACAAGGTCAACAGATTGAGACCATCCTGGCCAACATGGTGAAACCCCACCTCTACTAAAAACACAAAAATTAGTTGGGTGTGATGGCGCGTGCCTGTAGTCCCAGCTACTGGGGGGGGGGGGGGGGGCCGAGGCAGGAGAGTCGCTTGAACCCGGGAGACAGAGGTTGCAGTGAGCAGAGATTGCGCCACTGCACTCCAGCCTGGTGACAGAGTGAGATTCGGTCTCAAAAATAAAGTGCAAAGAAGTGCGAAAAAGAGATAAAAGGCACTACACATTAGTACAGAAGAAAAATCTGTTTTTATTCAGATAACATGGCTTTCTACACAGAAAAATCCCTAAAAATATCTATAAAAATCCTCCTAAAAGAGTTTAACAAAGTCATGGGAATCAAGGTCAACATATAATGATCAATTGTATCTCCATATACTAGCAATGAACAAGTGGAATTCTAATTTTTAAAAACGTACTATTTAGGATAACACACACACAAAGAAATACTGAGGTATAAATCTAATAACATACAAGTTCTGTAAGCTGAAAACTATAAAACACTACTGAAAGTAACTGAAGAAGACAAATTAATGAAAATATTGTGTTCATGGGTTAGAAGACTCAATATTAGATGTTAGTTCTCCTGAAATGGATTTATATATCTAATGCAAGTGGAACCAAAATTCAGTCTAAGGAGAAGTAACAACTAAATGCAATAGGAAATAGGATCCTAAAACAGAAAAAGCAGTACACTGATAGAAAAACTGATGAAATTCATATAAGTTCTTTAGTTAATGGTATCGTACTAATGCTAGTTTCCTGGTTTGAAAATTGTACTATGATTATATAAGATGTTAACATCAGAAGAATGTTAGAGTGAGGAATATATGGAGAGTATTACTTTTCTGTACATCTTTAAAGTTAATTCAAAAGAACATTATAAAAAAAACTCAGCAGTATTTTTTTTTAAAGAAACTGACACGCTGATTCTAAAATTTAGATGATAAAGAAAGGAAATAAGGAAAGCCAAAGCAATTCTGAAAGAGAAAATCAAAATTGGAGGATTCATAGTATCTAATTCTAAGAATTAATATAAAGCCACAGTTATCAAAACAGTATGGGCTGGTGAAAGGACAGGTATTTCAGAGTCTATTAGATACGTATTAGAACATAGTGAAGAGTCCAAAACCAGACTCACACATACAAGGTCAACTGACTTTCAACAAAAGTACAGTGGGATTTCAATGAAAAAGAATAGTTGTTTTCAACCAACAGTCCAGGAACCAATGAATATCCACACACAAAACAAAACAATCCTCAATCCATATCTTATACCATAAACAAACAGTAGCTAAAAATGGACTGTAGATCTAAATATAAAATCTAAAACTATTATGGTTGTCCCTCAGTATCTGTGGGATTGGCTCCAGGACTTCATGCAGATACCAACATCTGTGGTTGCTGAAGTCTCTGCTAAAAAACAATGTAGCATTTGCATATAACCTATGCCTATCCTCCTGGCTATGCACGTATCTCCTGGGGATACTTTAAATAATCTCTACATTACTTGTAATACTTAATACAATGTAAATGCTATGTAAGTAGTTTATACTGTATTATTTGTTTGAACATGTACAGACAAGAAAAGTCTTGTTCAGTACAGAAGCACTATTTTTTTTTTCTCAAATAGTTTTGACCTGCAGTTGACTGAATCCATGGATGAGAAGCTCATGGATACACAGGGCCAGCTGTACTTCTAGGAAAAAAAAAGGAGAAAATCTTTGTGACTTTGGATTAGGCAAAGATTTCCTAGCTACAACTCCCAAAGCATGACCCATAAAAGAACAATTTGATAAACTGGACACCATGAAAATTATAAACTTCTGCTCTTTCAAATATTATATAAAAAGAATGAAAAGGTATGACACAAACTGGAAGAAAAGACTTGCAAATCACATATCTCAAGAAAGACTTGTATCCTGAACACATAAGGAACTCTCACGAACTCAATGAGAAAACAAACAACTCAACTTAAAAAACAGGCAAAGAACTGAACAGACACTTCACCAAAGAAAACATATGGATGGCAAATAAAAAGATGCTCAAAATCAATTTTCACTGGAGAATGCAAATTAAGATAAAAATGGCCTAACACTGTACACCTAGCTGAGTGACTCGCATCACAAAAAACCCAAACCTCACAATACAGAGTGCTAATAAGGATGTGGAGCAACCAAAACTCTCATGTTTCTCATGGGAATACAAACTGGAACAGTTGTTATAAAAAACTGTTAAAATCTGTAGGTAAATATTTACAGTGAGTTTATTTATAATAACTCCAAACTGGAAACACCCCAAAAGTCTTCAACTAGTGAATGAATAAACCACACAGTGACACCGCCAGCCAATGAAATACTATTCCATAATAATAAAGTGGTACAAAGAACTGATACAGCCTACTACACCAACCAATATGAAATGCATTATGCTAAAAGAAAGAAGCCAGACTAAAAATGCTATATGCTACATGGTTCCATTAATACAGTCTTCTGGAATAGGCTACACTCAGTGGTTTGAGTTGACCAAATTGTTGATTATATGACCTTATGGGTTTGTCAAAACTCAGAACTATACACTAAAAGGGTGAATTTCACTGCAAGTATACTATAATTTAAAAACAAATACATATAAAATATATATTAAATACATCAGTGTGTCTATGTATATATATGTGTGTGTCTGTGTGTGTATATCTCTCTCTCTCTTTTTTTTTTTTTTTTTTTTTTTACTGTTTTGGGTGAATCCACGAGGGTTGCGGATTCACTCAAGCATATTTTAGCCTGGACCTTTTTTCATAAGGGTCTCAGTGTTCATGTTCCCCTGGGGCAAGAACAAATAATTGAATGTTCAGGTTTAACTCTTGGTGGGCAAGATTAAAGCCAAATTAACTTTAAAACAACAAAATCTTGAAATGAAGTAGATAATATCACTGAGTTCAGGCAGTCCACCCACACTTTTTATTGTTGTGAATTTAATTCTACAGAATCATATGACTGGTCACCCTTTTATCACCTTCCTAACTCCCTCTGACAATATAAGGATTCACAGAACTGACACTGAGAGACATAGAGAGGACTCTCCGGCAGTATGAAAAAAACAAAACAAAACAAAACATGACAATATCATTTTCCCATCTAAGATGCCAGTGCTTGTAATACAGATGTTTTATACCATACCAAGAATGAGAAAAAGAAAAAAAAGAGAATGTTCAAAAATGCAGACCTAACAGATCTTCAGATAAAACAAGGAGTGAGGATGACAAGTACAAACCTGACCCACAGAAAGGGGCAGTGAAGAAAACTTATGTGAGTCATTCTGGGCACCGCAGGAAGGGAGAAAAACTAACTTATTCTTAGAATTTGCGCTATATATCAGTACTCATAGAGGTGTGTGGTCTGAATACATACCAGTGGTCTAAAAAAACCTCAAGCAGACAATTTAATGTTTCCTTGGTAGTGTTGAGACCACCAGTGCCATCCTCTCTGGAAAAACACACCCTTAATCCAGGCTGACCATGACTGTAAGGTGCCCTTGACTGTAACATGGGTCTCAATTTCTGATATAAAAGATGTGAAAAAAACATTTACCTATGTAACGAACCTGCACATCCTGCACATGTATCCCTGAACTTAAAATAAAAGTTGAAAGAAAAAAAACAGTAGCAAAATTAGTACAATAAATGCTGTGTATCCACCTAAAAAAAATCTAAAATGTTCTCTAAAAAAAGGTGAAAGTTTTAGAATTATGGTATTCCTACCCAAGAACAGTTCTAGTGTCAATGAAGAGATTCATAAGGCCTATGTTTATTACTGAAAATGTATCCAGAGGAAAACTGGTTTCCTTTAAGGTTTTTATGAGAACTTAATTTGATTTAAAAATGTCTATATTCAAACAATACCCTTTTAAGGCCCATCTAAACTCCAAAGAGTTAGAAAAATCACCATGGAATGTTTAATTTTTAGTGCAGTTTTCTGCCACTATCGGAACTGGACATCTAGTATGTAGATGATGGATAGGAGATCTGAGTTTCTAGTAATACCACTAAGAAACCGTAATTTTCCCAAGTCAGCACTGTACCATAGCTCAGTCCCTGGGCTTTTTCCTTCCTTGGTGATCTCATCCAGATCCATGGCTTCAGATATACACTAGTGACTCCTAAATTTCTATTTCTAGTCGAGTTCTCATATACCAAACTCGAATACTATCTGCCTATTTGCCACCTCCTCTTGGATATCTAGGAGATACCTGAAATCTAACATGTCCAAATTGAACTACTGATTGTACCTCTGAAACCCGTTCTACCCTCTGCCTTCTTCAATTCAGCTGACTCAACTCTGTCCTTCTAGTTGCTCAGGACAAAATTCTAGAGTCAATTTTGACTCTTCTCTTTCTCTCAAATCCCACATCAGGAAATCCTGTTGGGTGTATCTTCAAAACATACAGCATATCTCATTTTATTGTGCTTTGCTTTACTGCACTTCGCAGGTACTGCAGTTTTT